>NC_000010.11:85749155-85900671 GCF_000001405.40 Homo sapiens | reverse complement strand
GCCACTCCAGATCCTCTACAGTTCAAGTTCCAACTCCCTGTAGACAGACAACCTGCCATTGCTATGGAATCAGACTCCATGTTTTTAGATATGAATCAATTGTTCCCAACAAGTGTATTGCCGTTTTGCAGAGTTTTGACAGAAAAATGCTTGGGAAAGGGAGTGCTGACACTTAGGGAGTTTTAAAAATAGCTTTAATTACCATATGCAGCAAATGTATTTGAAAACTAAAGGTTGGTGTCTACCTTTCCGCATTCCTATCCATCTGTCTTCCAGCAAATGGATTCTGGTGGATTCAGATGAACTTGCTGCTTGTGCCAGAAAGGCCCTATTATCTGTGCCTTCTACCCTGTTATTACACCTCCTTCGCCAGTCTGGATAATCATTATGCACCACACAGAGGAGAAGCAAGCGCGCCTGCACGCACATGTACACACACACATTCACACGTGGCTGCTGCCTTCACACAGCATGGGAAATTACAGGCCCCTGGTGGAGCTCCCCAGGAAGGGTCCTTTCAAAGCTGGAACAGAGAAGCAGAGGCAGGAGATAGTTCAAACCACCAGAACCTCTTTCTGTGAGTGTCTTAAGGGATGTTTGAGGGTTTACAGAGACTGTAGTCTCAGCTTTCATTCTCTTTCCTACTGCCTCAAACCAGGGGATGCTACATACATTGAGGCAGCTGTCTCTTAGAGGTGGCTGGAGAATCCCAAATGAATATTATGCAGTTTTGGAAAGGAAAGTGAGGAGGCAGTTTAACTGCCAGTGATTGGAACTAGGATGCAGTTTCCAGCAGCCCTAGAGGCCAGCTTGTCAGCTACTGAGGCAATGAGGGGCTGAACCTTCTGGGTACTTTCACGCCTGATACTCCTCTTACTCAAGAATTGCTGAAAAGCCCACTGTGTGAGGCCCATGGGGATCTGAACAAGTGCCTCCCCATGTTTAGGTTTCTGCTTGCTGTGGGCATGGCAAGAATAGCAAGCCGAGGGGTTGCCCTCAGAAGCAAGGGAAGACACATTGCTGAGTGCCTACTGTGTGCCAGGCCCTGCTTTGGATGCTTTATAGATATTATCTTAAAACAAATTAAATTTACCCAATTAAAGGGATGGCAAGAAACTTGATCTCAGTTATAATAGGATTGCTTCCTTTCTGCCCTCCTGAAGGATATGCAAAGGTTCCTGGATTTTACACTAACAAGATCAATCATAGAAAGATGTCTGTAGACTCAGCAGTCCCACTACTGGGTATACATCCAATGGAAATGAAATCAGTGTATCAAAGGGATATCTGCACTCTCATGTGGATTGCAGCGCTATTCACAATAGCAAGATATGGAATCAACCTAAGTGTCCATCAGTAGTTGAATGGATACAGAAAATGTGGTCTATCTACACAAAGGAATTCTATTCAGCC
This sequence comes from Homo sapiens, assembly GCF_000001405.40. Classification (NCBI taxonomy): domain Eukaryota; kingdom Metazoa; phylum Chordata; class Mammalia; order Primates; family Hominidae; genus Homo; species Homo sapiens. The sequence goes on along the minus strand of NC_000010.11, from coordinate 85,899,258 downwards.
TTAAAAAGGAAGGAAATCTTGTTATTGACAACATGGATGAGCCTGGAGGACACTATGTTAAGTCAAATAAGCTAGGCGTAGAAAGACAAATATGGCATGACCTCACTTATACACTTCTGTGTTACAGAATTATGCTTCTGTCAACCATGAACCCTATGTACAACAGCAGTCCCATAAGATTTTAGTGGAGCTGAGAAATTCCTGTCACCTAATGGCTTTGTAGCCATCCTAATGTCATAGTGCAGTACATTACTCCAATGTTCATGGTGATGCTGGTATAAACAAACCTACTGTGCTGCCAGTCATGTAAAGAAAGTAGAGTACATACAATTAGGTGCAGTCCATAATACTTGAGAATAATAATAGGCGACTATACTATTGGTTTATATATTTACTATGGTATTTTTTTATTGTTATTTTAGAGTGTACCTCTTCTAGTTACAAAGAAGAAAGTTAACTGTAAAACAGCCTGAGGCAGATCTTTCAGGAGATATTCCAGAATAAAGCATTGTCATCATAAAAGATGACAGCTCCATGCATGCTATTGCCCCTGAAGACCTTCTAGTGAGACAAGATGTGGAGGTGGAAGAGAGTGATATTGTTGATCCTGACCCTGTGTAGGCCTAAGTGTCTTAGTTTTTAACAAAAAAGTTTTAAAGAAATTTTAAAAATAGAAAAAAGCTTATAGAATAAGTATATAAAGAAAACAATATTTTGTATAGCTATACATTGTGTTTGTGTTGTAAACTAAGTGTTACTATAGGAGTCAAAAAGTTAAAATAGTTAAGTTTATAAAGTAAAAAAGTTATAATAAGTTAAAGTTAATTTATTTTTGAAGAAAAATTTTAAAAATAAATTTTAGTGTTGCCTATGTTTAGTGTTCATAGCCTCTATAGTAGTGTACAGTAATGTCCTGAGCCTTCACAGTTACTCAACACTCACCCACTAACTCACCCAGAGCAACTTCCTGTTCTGCAAGCTCCATTCATCGTAAGTGTCCTATACAGTTGTACAATTTTTTATCTTTCATAGCATATTTTTACTATACCTTTTCTATGTCTAGCTATATTCAGATACACAAATACCATTGGGTTACAGTTGCCTGCAATAGTCAGTACGGTAACATGCTGTATAGGTTTGTAGCCTAAGAACAGTAGGCTATGCCATATAGCCTAGGTGTGCAGTTGGCTGTTCCATCTAGGTCTGTGTAAGTACCCTCTATGATGTTCTCACAATGACACAATCATCTAACAACACATTTCTCAGAACATATCCCTGTCATTAAGCAATGTGTGACTGCATGTGGAATCCAAAAAAGTTGAACTTATAGAAGCAGAGAGAAGAAGGGTGAGATGCCGTGGGCCAGAGTGACAGTGGGGGGTTGGGGAGATGGTGGTCCAAGGAATCAAAATTTCAGTTAGAAAGAATTACCAGTTCAGGGGATCTATTGTACAGTATGGTTACGATAGCTGACAAGAATGTATTGAATATTTGAAGAATGCTAAGAAAGATTTTAAATGTTCTCATCACAAAAAAATTGATAATGGATCAATTAATTAGCTTGATTTAACCAATCCACAATGTATACATATATCAAAATGTCATGTTGTACATCATAAATATATAACATTTTATTTGTCACCATCATCATCATCATAAAAAGAAAGACTTCTGTAGGCACTCAATAACATTAACTCCAAGCCACTTTGGGCCTCAGGCATGATGATATGTTTTCCGAGCATGAGAGACCCCATGCCTATGGCCAAGCCTTCCTGAGGGGCCAGTGTATTGGGGATGGGTTAATCCAAGGCTTCTCCTCTGGTTCCCTCCCCATCTTCCCTGGAGGTTTCCTGGCTCAGGCCATTTTACCTATCCCCATTCTCCAAGCCACAGAGAACTTCCCAGCCAACCATTATGACAGTTTGCCTATTTTTTGAAAGAAAATATCTTGGGAGAAAGAAGAGCATAAACTTTCTAGGGCATAAGTGCTGCTTACCACTGTGTAGGTGTGTCTGGGTGTGTGTATAATGAAGTGGGAGGGGCAGGGATAGAAGCAAAGCAGAGAAAAATTGCTCTAATTCCTTCTGCTCCTTCTATAATAATAAAATAAAATACAAATTAATATACCAATAAATTATCCTTTCAAACAGCCTTATATACGTCATTTATTTTGCCTCATTGAGATTTTACTGTTATGTTCAGTTTTGTGTCTCACTGTTTTCAATTAATAATGTATCATTAACAATTTATCATGTCAGTAAATAGCATTTGAAATAATATTTAATGACCTTCTAGTATTCTGTCATTGGAGGAATCATAATTTATGCAAATCTTCTCCTTTGTTGGAAACTTAGCTTGGTTAATGCTATTGTAAATTATGCTGCAATCAACATCCTTATACCTAGATCTCTTGATGTCTCCTTCTGATGATAATATTACTATTTCAAAGTATGGAAACTCAAAGAGTCTGAACTGCTTTTATCATAGTGCCTGTCTCATCTTACTCTTGCATCTTGTGACATGAATATAATAAATTGTTATTTGTTTTTACCAATATTTTAGATAAAAAGGTGCACTGCATTGTTTAATTTGTATTTCTTTGCTTATTAGCTAAGTCAAACACTTTTAATATTTCTTGATTGATCATCACGTCTACTTCTATTTTGTGACATGGTTGCCTATGTCCTTTGCACAGATGTGTTAGTTTTATATAGCTTTATCCACACAACAACCTTATAAGAGAGAGATTATTAAAAATCCAGTAGAGGTGATGAAGTTGAAGTTCAGAAAAGGTCTGAGGTATCACAACAATATAAAGACAAGCTGGAATTTTAAGCTCAAGTTGGTCTGATTCCAAACCCTGTGTTACCTTCATGCAGTACTGCCTTTGAACCAGCCCAGCTCTAACTTAATGGAAGATACATGTTGATTTTTGTCCTTAAAGGGTCAAAATTTCCGCATCAAGCCAAGTAAAAGTTCTGATTATTATATTGGGTAGATCATTTTAATAGCTGAATCAAAACTTGGCTTTGCAACTTAAAGTGACAGAACTTCCTGTTAACTAGAAATAGACAGAAAAGCCACGAAACTTCATCCGACAGATGAAATTCTTATCCAATAGAAGTGAATGAATGAACAGATTCAAAGAGCCAGTGGAAGACAATGTAAAGTAGCTTTTATGATTTACTGCAAAGAATCCTGCTTGTTTAAAGTCCTGGCTGTCTTATGTTGAACTTTCAATGGCCCCACCAAGAAGACTTGCAGTGAGGGGCAGGCACTCTCCTCACCCTTGTGGGAGTGACAACATGTCCATGTTCGTTTTTCCCCCAGAGAGATGTTTCTCACTAAATCCTCTTTCCCATAATTTTGACTCTTGTGGCCCTTTTATATCCTCCTTGTGGCTGAGCATTTTTGGAGTCAAGAAACTGATTCTCATTTTCCTCGGATCATCTGCATCTGGGTCAGGTACTTCACTATGGAATTTCATATCATTAAGACTATGTGCCTCAAAGAAAATTTTCAATTTAGCTTAATGGTTCAGTTTAATATGAAAAGCCATTTCTTCCACCCAAATATTGGCTGCAGGAAGATGGGTTCTGTTAACCATTAGGTTTTTGTCCCTCAGCTCACACCACACAGTACTGGGAGAGATGTGTACCCCAGATGAGAAGCAGTCATAGCCAGGAACCACAAGAACTGGGAAATGTGGTGATGGCTTGTGGATGAAATGTGGACAGACAGTTAATAATGGGGCAGTGGCTTAGAGTCCAAGGTGATAACATATGAGCATGGGTGGGAGGATATTCTGTGGCATCTGCTCCCACAAGGACTTGGCTTGTCTTCTGATTGAGCTGAGGAGACACTAGAGCATTTTGTATTGAGAAATGATGTGATGTGAATTATGTTTTTGAAGGACCACCCTGACATCCGTGTTGAAGATATATCATGGGGGTTGGGATGAGAAGGGGTAGGAAAAAGGAAAAAAGGTGGAGCCTTTATTAGAGATGATGGGATGTGGACCAGGATGGTTCAAATGGAGGTGGTGAGATGGATTCAGGCTCAGGAGTTTCAAAGGTGGGGCTAACAGGAGCTGCTGAGAGTTGATTAAACTGATGTCAGGGAGGACCAACGGTTAGTGCAAAAACAAGCACCTTCAAGTAGCAAGTGTTGAAAGGAGATGAAGGTTATAGGTTCTGTGCAGGGTGAGTTATATTTTACATATATATATATATATATATATATTTTTTTTTTTTTTTTGAGAGTCCCAGTTTGTTGAAGGCTGTGGTGCAGTGACACAATCTTGGTTCACTGCAACCTCCAGCTCTCAGGTTCAAGCGATTCTCCTGCCTCAGCCTCCCAAATAGCTGGGATTACAGGTGCACACCACCATGCCGGGCTAATTTTTGTATTTTTAGTAGAGACGGGGTTTCACCATGCTGGCAAGGCTGGTCTTGAACTCTTGACCTCAAGTGATCTGCCTATTTTGGCCTCCCAAAGTTCTGGGATTACAGGCTTGAGCTACCGCACCCGGCCAAGTTCTGTTTTGTTTGGAGTGCTCTAGATCTGAGCAAAAGTAGTCTGATTCCAATGCCTACACTGCTGTTATTTTATAAACTTTTAAAAGTACAATTGACACTTAAAAAACCTGCACAATCTGATAAGTACGACTTGGAGTTTTGAAATATACATTTGTAAAATCATCACCACAATCATGATAATGCATCTTTGCATAACCCACAAAAATTTCCTCCTGCCCCATATAATTTCTACCTCTACCTAATCTCAAGACAACCTCTGATCTCCTTTCTGTCACTGTAGATTACATTTCCTAGAATTTTATATCAATGGAATCATACCTGTATTATACTCTTTTTTTGTGGAGCTTATTTCACTCAGCATATTGATTTTGAGACACACGCATGTTGTTGTGTATATTGGCGGTTAATTTTTGCATATGATATGAGGTAAGGGTTAAGATTAATCCTTATTTTATTTTTTTATATAGTTATTTAATTTTTCCAGCACCAGCCATTGAAAATATCCTTTCTACTTTGGATCTTTTGTCAAAAATCAATTGCCCTTCAGTATGTGTATCTATTCTTGGACTTTCTTTTCTGTTTCATTGACCATTGACTGGTGGAAGGATTGTCTATTGTCCCAGCAGTGCCACACTATCTCAATAACTGTAGCATTACAGTTAACTTTGAAATCAAGAGGAGAAAGTTCTGTACCTTGTCCTGTTTTTGAAACGTCGTTTTCACCTTTCTAGGTTCTTCACATTTTCACAGGTGTGGGACTAGGGTGAGACAAGTGAGGCACTCAGGACACAAAATTTAAGAGGAATTCACTCTGAAGTTTGTGATAGTGCCTTACCCTAGTTGAGGCCCTGCATTTCCATACGCATTTTAGAATTAACTTGTCAGTTTCTAGAAAAATCCTGCTAGGATTTAATTTCAATTGTGTTGAATTGGCATCTTAACAATATTGTCTTCTAATTCATGAACAAAGCATATCTTTTCATTTATTTAGGTCTTTCTTAATTATTTTTAGCAATGTTTTACACTGTTAAGTGTACAGGTCTTGTTGTTAAATTAGTCTCCAAATATCTAATAAGTTTCCTATAATTGTAAATGGTGTTTCTTTTTTCATTTAGATTTGCAATTGTTTGTTACTAGCATGTAGCAATACAACTGGTTTCTGGATATTGACCTTGTGTTCCTAATCTTGCTAAATTCACTTCTTAGTTCTGGTAGGTTTTTGTTTTAGATTTCCTGGGATTTTTCGATATAGACTATCATGCCATCCCTGAATATAGTGAACTATTCTTATTCCTTTCCAATCTGGATCTCTCTCACTTATTTTTCTAGCCCTGGTGCCCTGACTAGAACCTCCAGCACAATGTTGAGTAGAAGTAATAGTAGCGGATATCTATGCCTTTTTCCTGCTCTTAGGGGAAAAAATTCAGCCTTTTATCATTAATGATGATGTTAGATGTAGGTTGATTGTTGATATCCTTTATCATGTTGAAGAAGTTTTCTTTTATTCCTAGTTTGCTGAGAGTTTTTAACATAATTGGATCTTGAATTTTGCCAAATATTTTTTGTGCATCTATTGAGATAATCACGTTTTGTCTTTTTTATTCTGTTAGGGTGGAGAACTAAATTGATTCACTTTCAAGTGTAAAACCAACCTGCAGTCCTGGGATGAATATTTTTGTCTTTTTTCAAGAAAATGTTGGATTCAAAATTAAAATATTTTAGCTAAAGTATTGGCTAAGATATTTTAAAGAAATTTTAAATCTGTAAATTTTGTATCTATGCCCAGAGATACAAAAATTGGCTTCAGTTTCTTATCCTGTAAACCCTTTGTCTGGTTTTGTTATCAGGGTAGTGATGGCCTCCTGACATGAGTTGCAATATGTTTCCTCCTCTTCAATTTTCTGAAAGTGTTTGTGTAAAATTGGTATTCTTTCTTCCATAAATGCATGTAGAATTCACCAATGACGTTATCTGGGTCTGAAAAGGTTCCTCTGAATACCCTTCATGGAAAGATTTTAAGAACACATTCTATTTTTTTAGCAGATCTAGGACTATTTAGATTATCTTTTTTTCCTGAAGATTTTTTTTTTTACCTTTTATTTTTCTAAAAACGTCTTTGCTTTAGTTTTGCATGTATAAAAATCTAGGAAAAACATAGTTTTCTTTTTTTTTCTTTTCATACTTAAAAGATGTATCACGGACTTCAGGCTTGCCTTGATGAGGACTCAGCTCTTAATCTTAGTTTTATTTCTCCCTGCATATCGGATCTTCTTCTTCTAGCTGCTTTTAGGATTTTTTCTTTGCCTCTCTTTGGTTATGTGCTTAATTATGTGTGTTCTTCATCAAACTTGGAAACTTTTTGGCAATTATTTTCTCAAGTACTTTTTTCTGTATCCCCTTCTCTCTCTTCTCCCTCATGGACTTGAATGACTTGTATATTAGGCTGCTTGAAATTATTCTATTCTCACTAATGCTCTGTTGATCTTTTTCCTGTTTTTTTTTTTGTTTTTTTTTTATCTCCATGATTCATTTTGAGTAGTTTCTGTTGCCATACTTTCAAGTTCATCGACTTTTCTTCTACAGTGTCTAATGTGCTGTTAATTTTATCCAGTGTATTTTTCATCTCAGGCATTACATATTCTATTTGTTAAATCCAATTTGTGCCTTTTATTTTTCTCCCTATCATGCATGTTTTGCTCTATCTTCTTTACATATGGTATATGTTTATAATATTTATAATATCTATTTTAATGTCCTGTTTTCCTAATTACCATCTACCATCTGCATTATTTCTGGGTGTGTTTCTATTGATTGATTGAGGATTGATTGAGGATATTGACATATCCTCATTATGGATTGTATTTTCTTACTTCTTTATGTGCCTGATAATTTTTGATTAGATGCCAGACATTATGCTTTTACATGGTTGGGTGCTTGATTCATTGTTAGTCCTTTAAAGACTTTCTCCCTCCTTGGGACACAGCTGAATTACTTTGAATATTTTGATGTTTCAAGACTTGCTTTGGAGCTTTGTTATGCAGATCTCTTTAGTCTGTTGCTAATTTGGCCTATTTCTAAGGATTGCTGCACCTGCTCCTTTCAGATGGTCCTTTCCCTGGATTCAGGGGGTTTAGTTATGTATGTCTAGTTATGCCTGTTATCCAATGTCTGAAAACTTGTTGCATATATTTTGTTTGTTTTTAGTTGTTTAACATGACAGGTAAATTCAGCCCTTATTAATCCACCACAGCCAGCATTTGCACTCTTAATTATCATGCTATATTTCCTTCTGAATGTATGTTTTTTATCTTTACACTTGGGTCTACAAAATTGGGTCTTGTTCAGATGTAAGGATTGGATATGTTAAATACAGGGCTATAAACTCCAGAATCATGACACTTAAGGGCTCTGGGCCATGCAATTTTATTTCTAAATCATCTTTGGAAAGTTTTTTGTGGTAATTTTTTAGGATTTTAAATTATATATGCAATTAAAATTATAATTCTCTGTCAGCTCCTCAGGGATAAAAAAAATGAGGTGTTAATGTGAAACATAAGGTCTCATTTTCCTAGTGGTAGGGATAGTTGTGCACAAACAGAAGTGGATTTAAATATTCTCCTGAGATAAACAAATAGGTATTGCAAACAAAATAATTAAAGTGGTTTGCAACAGGCAAGCAAATGAGGACTGTGAAGGATCAGCTGTTATTATATTTATTTTTCTGTTTGAATATCTGCCTGGGGAGTAAACTGTGAATTAAAGGGCTCAGCCAGCTTTTAATAATTTAACAACAGAATGAAAAGAATTGGCTTTGTGTTATGGAGATAGCTACTCAGGTCATAGTTTAAAATATTAAAAATTTTGAGGTTCACTTTTTGTGTATGTGTGTGTAATTCTAAATAACTCATTTTCTCCCCTCTCCCTTTTTCTTTCTCTCTTCCTTCTTCTCTCCCTTGCTCCTTTGCTCTTTCCTCCTTCCCTTCCCTTCTTCCTTCATGAGTACTTACCAGGCCTGGTGCTCAGAGCTAGGAAGATAGCACAACAGGAGACATTTACCTCACCGTGGAAGAGCTGGTTCTGGTTCTAACTCCAGCATAGACAGAGCAATGGATTATCACTTACAATTTCCTTTTGGTTTTGGAGGCACAGTGAGAATTTACAGTAGTCCTGAACTAAATGAAAATTGTGGGTATATACAGTGAATGACCAAAAGATCCTTATGAATTTTAGATCTGAGTTAATGGAGTTTCTTTATGCATTTCTTAAAACCCATTTTCTTTTTTTAAATTGACACAATAATTGTACATATTTATGGGTGGTACAATGTGGTATTTTCATGCACATATACGTTGTATAATGATCAAATCAGGGTAATGAGCATATCCATCATGTCATACATTTGTAATTTCCTTGTGGTGAGAACATTCAGAAACCTCTCTTCTAGCTATTATGAAATATACAGTATATTATTGTTAACTATAGTTTGCCCGATGGTCAATAGATTACCAGAATTTATTTCTCCTAACATCAGTAATCATCAGAGAATTGCAAATCAAAACCACAATGGCTCACTAGATAGAAGGAATAAGTTCTAGTGTCCTGCAGCGCTGTAGGATGACTATAGCTAACAATAATATACTATATCATTTCAGATAGCTAATAGGAAGATATTGAACATTCCCAAGACAAATAAATGATAAACTTTGAGGTGATGGCTATGCTAATCACCCTGATCTGATCACTATGCATTGTATGAATTGAAGCATCATTATATACCCCCGAATATGTGCATTATGTGTCAATTTAAAAAAGAGAACACAATGAGATGACACCTCACTCATTATCAAAATGACTATTATAAAAAATATAAAAGATAAAAAGTATTGATGAGGATGCGGAGAAAAGGGAATCTTAACACACTGTTGGTGAGAATGTAAATTAGTACAATCATTATGGAAAACAGTATAGAGGTTTCTCAAAAAATTAAAATATAACTACCCTATGAACCAGCAATCCCACTTCTGGGTATCTATCCAAAAGAAAGGAAATCAACATCTCCAAAGTACCTGAACTCTCATGTTTATTGCAGCACTATTGACAATAGCCAAGCTATGGAAACAACCTAAGTGTCCATCAACAGATGAATGGATAAAGAAAATGTAGTATAAAACCAAAAGAGAATACTATTCAGCCATAAGAAAGAGTGAAATTCTGTCATTTGAGACAATATTTATGAACCTGGGAGACATTATGTTAAGTAAAATTAGCCAGGCACAGAAAGACCATTACTGCATAATCTCACTCAAGTGGAATCTAAAAAATATTGATCTCGTAGAAGTAGAGAGTAGAACAGTGGTTACCAGAATCTTGGGAGGAGAGGGGTAAGGGGAGATTGGAGAGAAGTTGGTGAATGTTACAAAATTGAAACTCCTTTTCTGGGCCTATTTCCACATTGCTCTGTTGGGTGCAGGGGATTGCAGAAAGGGGCATGTCTCTGCCTGTGACTGCTGAAACCCGTTACCTGGATAACTTCCCACTCAGCCTCTGCCTTGATTGTTGAACTGCAAACACTCTAGATTTGCCGTCCCTCCAAATGCCAGGCAAAGCTGTTTTAACTTGTCCCAACAGTTATTCCAGTGCTTTTAAAATCCAAGTAGACCTGCAGAAGTTTACATTTCAGATGCAACTTAGAGCATATTTCAGGAATATCACATCTGAAAAAGTCAGAGTAAGGTTAGCAATTGATAAACCACTTTTGGGAATTGCTTTGACCTACCCTGAATGTTCTGAGTCCATTGGAATTAAAGGAAATTGAATGAGCAGGGATGGGTGAAATGGAGTTTTGAGAATTTAGAATTTGCTAGGTAGAATTTTCTATGGCAGAAGCAGGAAGCTCAGAGAAGATGAAGGAAAAAGAGGGAAAAGAAAAAGAGAGAGGGAGGAAGAGTGAGAGACAAAGGAAATAGTAAAAACAAAAGGAAAGCAGAAAGTAAAAGTAGGTGACAAGAAAAAAGGGATGAGGAGAGAACTGAGGAGAAGATGGATAAATCTCACAGACAGCCCACCTAAACACGTCCATCACCTATAAATAACCAACCAGCCAGAGGAGCTCGAGTCACTGTCCTCAGTGTAGGTCCCTAGTCTCATTGGCAGGGAGATGTCCACCTTGTGCTTATGGTTAAATATGATTGAACAAAATAGAGTAAAATGTGAAGAAATACAAGTTGATTGATAAAATGGGGTAAGCTTCTCAAAATGTAAAGTTCTTAGGACTTTGGACTTCTCTGGCTGGTATACCAGGTTCTCCTTGTAAACCAGTAGATCTGGGAAGGGTTTGCCAGAACTGAGCAGAGAGCCTGTTCCTCCACGTGCTAGTCTTTAGGGAGAGGAGACTGCTGCAGATTGCTGTCTGTGCTGACTGGGCCCACGCTTGGGAATGGGCTGTGATGGAGGAGGTGGATGAGAGGCAGCTCTGCTAGCTGAATGCTGGGCAGCCAGAGTATGAGGGCAGGCAGAGTGCTGGCTCTACAGTGAGCAGAAGCTATTGCGTCATTTATACAAACAAAGGAAGCTGAACTACTTTTCAAACAATGGCTCATTTATTTCATAACAGAATTGTTGAGTCCTGTTTTGATGTCCTGGCAAGGGGTCAAGGGTACCTAAGATTTCCTGGAGGTGAGGAACAGTAAAGAGCTAATTGAAAATTGGGATGGTCTGCTATGGGCTTCCTTAAGGGTGTAGAAGAGGCTGTAGGAGGAATGGGATGATGGGAAGGGCAGAAAAAGGGCTGCTCTGGCTTGCATGGAGGCCAGGTAGAGGCAGGTCTTTGATGGGCATCAAAGGTTGTAGAAAGACGTTTAGTTTTTAAGTTAGATGGATAAGGAGGACTCACTGCAAAACTTCGGGCTAGACACATTGTATCCTATTGAATTAAAGCCACTGAACTTTGTCAAAACCCTAGGAAGTACTATTATTCCATTTATAAATGATGCTCAAAGAAATTAAGTGCCTTGTCCAAGTTACACCATCAGGAAGAGAAGAAGGCGGGGTTGGAAGTCAAATCCATCTGATTTCAGACCCTACGCTCATCACTTCTCTGCATAATATCTTAGACCAGGGCTTCTCAAACATTAATGTGCCCATAAGTCACCTGGGGATCTTGTTAAAATGCAGATTCTGATGAGATAGGTTTAGGGTGGGGCCTGAGACTTTGCATTTCTGACAAGCTCTGAGATGATGCTGATACTGTTGGCCCATGGATCTCACTTTAGGAAACAAAAGAACCCTCTTTGGCAAGTTGCTGTGGCCTGTGCAAACCAGGGAGACTCATGCATACCCCATAAGTTTTTAGGGGGCAGCTAATGAGATGATGTGCCTCTGGTCAGGATGACTACTCAGAAGATGCCCCTTCTTCCACTGTCCTCTGTCCTGGAGATGTAATCAGTGCCAAGCTTTGTCTCCCACCCTCTCTTCCTACTCAGGATGTCCTGATCTCCATGGAGCCTTGGTCTGCCTTGCCCTAGGTGGTCTATAGGGACCTGAATGCAACACACATTCTGAAAACCCTGTTGACTTCAGTGGGAGTTATTCTGTCATCACGTCTTTATTGAATTCTTTTATTTTCTCAACTTTTCTTAAGCTGGCCTTGCCTGAAGTTTCTCTACTGTCATCAACTTAGATTACTGACACCATGGTTTGGAAGAGGAAAATAAACTTTATTATTTCTCCAGAAATGGAGTAATGCTGGTATCACACAGATGTTTGATAGATCTAGGTCTTCCTAAGGAATAAAAGGAAATGACTAATAATGTGATTGCATAGCCCTGTATAAGTTTAGAGATTTATATAAATGTTTAATAATATTTTTCTCTGATATCGGAACTTTCCAAAATTTTACTGAAGTTTTGCAGATCAGACAAAAACTTATCTGTGCATGAGTTTTGCACCTGGTTTGCCAAAATATATATTTTGAAAAAAAGAGATCCTTACTATTTTATTTGTGGCTTTGAAAATTTCCCTTCATTATAAAAATTTATCCTCTTTGTCCCTCAACCTGGCTTGAAGTGAGACCTTTGCAGTTACTCTTTCTCTGTTTTCAATGAAATATTTCTAAGAAGCTTAAAAGATACAGAGAGTAATATAACAAACACCCACATGTCCATCATTGAAATTTTGCCATATTTGAGATCTCGTATTTGGAGAAATTGGCTGTTTTGGATACAGTGAAAATCTGCCCTGTACCCCATTTCAAGTCCCATGAGAGTGTGAATCAGTAAGGTTGTTTTGACTACAGTAACAGAAAAATATGAGTCAAATTTCCTTGAATGGTCTAAAAATTTATTACTTCACTTTACAAATGGTTCAGAGACAATTCATAAGATTTCAAGGTAGGGCAATTCAGAGGCTAAGTGGCATCTTCGGGTTCCCTGATCTTTGCAGTGTGATGGACTGGCCCTCAAGTGGACTCTGCTCAGGACTCAAACATCCAGAGGCAGAAAGGTGCTGTCTCTTCTAGGTCTTCTTCTTAGGATTCAGAAAACCATCTAAAAAATCCAGCATGGAGAACCCCCTTATGTCTCAACAACCAGAAGTGGGGCCATGGCTGTCTCTTAAAACTGGGACAACCCAGGTGGTCTGGGACCAGGCAGGACACAGCTCTGGGTCTGGGACCAGGCAGGACACAGCTCTGGTTCTGGGTATCCTGGAGGGGAGAGCCCCCTGGGGTTGCCCTAGCATGGAGGAAGTGGGCAAGAGTCTCAGGCAGGCACCAGATCTGCTGGTTAGCTTCCTCTTTTCCCCCAGGGACAGCTACTGTCCTGAAGCTGGGTGTGTCCTCATCTAAGTTTTTATTATATTATACTATACATGTATCTTTACTATAAATGTATTTATTTATCACTCTGTAACTTATTCCTCTTTTCCTTTCTTTTCTGCTTTCCTTAACTCTGTCATCCACATCTGTGCAGGTGACGAAGTAACACTGCAGATGTATTCAGTCATCTTTCTAGCTGCATGGTAGTCCATCATATTAATTCAATTACTTCTTCTATTATTTCTTTTTCTGTTATTACATCAGAGGCCTGAATGGATGTGAGGAAGAAATAGCTGAATCTGACAGTTAGTGAAACTCTTGTGTCTCCAAATTATCCCATTGGTATTATCATCATTTTTATTGTTCTCATAATTAGCAAAAAGGAGCACTTTAGAAACCATTACTAGCCTCCATATCAGTAATTCATCACATTTTTGTTTTGATTAAAGGCTTCTTTGAAAATCCAATATAGTCTATGGGCTTTCTCCACAGGAAAATGCACATACACACTTTACACTTTTTGGAATGGCAAGTCCTCCTGAAGCCAGCCATATACCCTGGCTGAATATACATGTTCCTCTGAACAGGGGAAATCACATCTTATCCCCTTCCTTAGTGCACACTATAAAAAGGACAGTTTTGCTTCGAATCAGTGAATTAAGCATGTACCTTTTGGGAGGATGTGAGGATTGGCTTTTCTTCAGAATTCTAACTTTTCTTTGGTCTTAACACTTTGCAAGTGAAGTAGAGATTTGCAGAGGTTTCTTAATTTATTTGATTCAAAATGCAGATTTTCTAAGATTCAGTGCATTCTCAGTAGAGAATTAGAGACAGCGATTCTTTTTATTATGTAGTGCATGAAGCAATTTCTCATATTTTAGTGTATTCACAGAAATCTTTTATTAAGTATGGTATAAGGCAATAAAAGAGTCTTTTTTTTTACTTTCTGATGACTGGTAAAAAGGATATGATGTTAACTTGAAACTCCATCCCTCATTTCTTCTCTACTTGTTTTTGTTGTTACAATATTCTGGTTTTTAAATTGCAAATACTTCTCCCATTGAAAATGGAGGTAGATCCATCAGTATTTTGCCATCAGTCAATTCCAATTTCATCAACAGTTAATGCCCCAAATTCTAAATTTTACCTAGTTCTAAAGATGACCATTTGCAGCCACCTTAGCTTAAGTTACCATCATCTCTCACAGGGCTGATCTCTTTAATGAGCAGTACTGATGAAATAGGATTTATGGGTGGAACCTATTAGATTGTAGGAGAGGAAGTAACAGAAATTTAGGGATATATTTCTGAAGCAACAAACAAAATAAGGTGGAAGCTGCAGAATGTTTACATTCTTTCAGTCACGATAATGAGATGATTCAAGAATACAATTCAGATTTGGCCAAATGGAGGAGAGTGCACATGCTTCTCTTGGGCCCCTCAGAAATAGCCCTCTTTCTAATATTAATGACAAGAAACTTAAGAAGAGACAGCCAAATGAAACAAATATAAATTATAGCATAATAACTGAGGTTTAGTCAGTCACAAAGTCAAAACATATAGGGAGCTATTTGGGAGGCAGGTGTGTGTCCCAGAAAAAGACCAGGGTCATGAGCTAAAGAATTTAAATTCCATACAAAAGGTTTAGTAGTATGTCTTCATGGAAGAATAATTAGCCTGAATGACACTCACAAAAGGAAAAATGACCAAAAAAGCCAGATATAATACATTTAAAAATACTTAAAAATAGAGTCCATCAAGAGTAACATCTATGAAGGCCAAATGTAAAGTGGTAATAGGAACTCCCAGCAATATGTGAGCTTCAGATTTAATTTTTGCCTTGCATGTATTTGCCCAACTGTGAAAACCCTGAGATTTTTTCTTATGATTGTGCAAGGAATAGGACGTATGAGATAAAGTCTAAGAACTAAACAAATGTGGAGCCTGATGAGAGATTTCTACATAAAGCTGGAAACTTCTATCTTCAGTGTAAGGATTATGAGAAATGAACACACTATGCAGAAGGAGATGGCAAGGAAAATGTTCAGTCTTGACTGGAGTTGCATGGAGCGGGGAGTTTTCTTCAGAACTGATAACTCCCATGCAGGTTTGTGATCCCAGTTTCCACTATTTACGGTGTCTTTAAAAAGCTGAAAGGAAAACTTAAATTTGTAGTGGTTATAGATTTGTAGTGGTTATAGATAACTAGTGCTCCTAGTTAGGTATTTGAAGTCAGCATAAATAGTTTTTGAAGTAATGTGAATCAAAGGCTTCATAAGGCAGTTTTAAGGAAAATGAGATTACGTACATGACGGAAAAAAACAAGGAAGAAAGAGAAGATGGGAGAGAGGGAGGGAAGAGGAGAGAGAGAGAGAGAGACAGAGAGAGAGAGAGAGAGACAGAGAGAGAGAGAGAGACAGAGAGAGAAGGACAAAGGAAAACGAAGGAAAGAAAAAAGTCACCATGAGTGAGAACCAAGAAACAATAAAGTGCAGTTTAATCAGATCTGAAATGACTTTACGTATTTAGAAGTATCTGACGTAGAATATTAAATAAGTGTGCTTAAATATGTTTCAAAAATAGATACTGGAAAATATGAGCAAGGAATAAAAGGCATTTAAAAAGCAAAATAGAAAAGGAAATGAACAGAACATCAGAAAATTAAGAATCTAACAGTTGAAGTTAAAAATCTTAGAGGTTGAACACCAAAGTGGATACATACGCAGAAAGAATTAGTGAACTGGAAAATATGAAGAAATTGTTTAGAATGAGGCCTAGAGAAACAAAGAGATGGAAAATATGAAGAAGTTAACATACATGGAAGGTAGAATGAAAACGTCCTACATATTTTTATTGGACTTCTAAAACGAAATATGACATAATGGAGAAGAAAAAATAATAAACAATGTTAAGGCTTCTAATTTCTAGAATTATTGAAAGAAATCAAACTCCATACTCAGGAATCCCAAGAATCAGAAACAGAGTAAAAATTAAAAGTCCATATCTGGGTATAGCATAACATGCTACTGTAGAACACCAAAGACAAGCAAAAACCTAAAAAAGCATCCAAACAGAAAAGGCATATCATCTACAAGGGAATGACAGTTAAAATGATTTTTTAAAAAAATATTATTATTATTACACTTTAAGTTTTAGGGTACATGTGCACAATGTGCACGTTTGTTACATATGTATACATGTGCCATGTTGGTGTGCTGCACCCATTAACTTGTCATTTAACATTAGGTGTGTCTCCTAATGCTATCCCTTCCCCCTCCCCCAACCCCACAACAGTTCCGGGAGTGTGATGTTCCCCTTCCTGTGTCCATGTGTTCTCATTGTTCAATTCCCATCTATGAGTGAGAACATGCGGTGTTTGGTTTTTTGTCCTTGCGATAGTTTGCTGAGAATGATGGTTTCCAGTTTCATCCATGTCCCTACAAAGGACATGAACTCATCATTTTTATGGCTGCATAGTATTCCATGGTGTATATGTGCCACATTTTCTTAATCCAGTCTATCATTGTTGGACATTTGGGTTGGTTCCAAGTCTTTGCTATTGTGAATAGTGCCAAAATAAACATACGTGTGCATGTGTCTTTATAGCAGCATGATTTATAATCCTTTGGGTATATATCCAGTAATGGGATGGCTGGGTCAAATGGTATTTCTAGATCTAGATCCCTGAGGAATCGCCACACTGACTTCCACAATGGTTGAACTAGTTTACAGTCCCACCAATGGTGTAAAAGTGTTCCTATTTCTCCACATCCTCTCCAGCACCTGTGGTTCCCTGACTTTTTAATGATCACCATTCTAACTGGTGTGAGATGGTATCTCATTGTGGTTTTGATTTGCATTTCTCTGATGGCCAGTGATGATGAGCATTTTTCCATGGTTTTTTGGCTGCATAAATGTCTTCTTTTGAGAAGTGTCTGTTCATATCCTTTGCCCACTTTTTGATGGGGTTGTTTGTTTTTTTCTTGTAAATTTGTTGGAGTTCTTGTAGATTCTGGATAGTAGCCCTTTGTCAGATGAGTAGATTGCAAAAATTTTCTCCCATTCTGTAGGTTGCCTGTTCACTCTGATGGTAGTTTGTTTTGCTGTGCAGAAGCTCTTTAGTTTAATTAGATCCCATTTGTCAATTTTGGCTTTTGTTGCCATTGCTTTTGGTGTTTTAGACATGAAGCACTTGCCCATGCCTATGTCCTGAATGGTATTGCCTAGGTTTTCTTCTAGGGTTTTTATGGTTTTAGGTCTAACATTTAAGTCTTTAATCCATCTTGAATTAATTTTTGTATAAGGTGTAAGGAAGGGATCTAGTTTCAGCTTTCTACATATGGCTAGCCAGTTTTCCCAGCACCATTTATTAAATAGGGAATCCTTTCCCCATTGCTTGTTTTTGTCAGGTTTGTCAAAGATCAGCTGGTTGTAGATATGTGGCATTATTTCTGAGGGCTCTGTTCTGTTCCATTGATCGCTATCTCTGTTTTGGTACCAGTACCATGCTGTTTTGGTGACTGTAGCCTTGTAGTATAGTTCGACGTCAGGTAGTGTGATGCCTCTGGCTTTGTTCTTTTGGCTTAGGCTTGACTTGGTGATGTGGGCTCTTTTTTGGTTCCATATGAACTTTAAAGTAGTTTTTTCCAATTCTGTGAAGAAAGTCATTGGTAGCTTGATGGGGATGGCATTGAATCTATAAATTACCTTGGGCAGTATGGCCATTTTCACGATATTGATTCTTCCTAGCCATGAGCATGGAATGTTCTTCCATTTCTTTGTATCCTCTTTTATTTCATTGAGCAGTGGTTTGTAGTTCTCCTTGAAGAGGTCCCTCACGTCCCTTGTAAGTTGGATTCCTAGGTATTTTATTCTCTTTGAAGCAGTTCTGAATAGGAGTTCACTCATGATTTGGCTCTCTGTTTGTCTGTTATTGGTGTATAAGAATGCTTGTGATTTTTGTACATTGATTTTGTATCCTGAGACTTTGCTGAAGTTGCTTATCAGCTTAAGGAGATTTTGGGCTTAGACAGTGGTGTTTTCTAGATATACAATCATGTTATCTGCAAACAGGGACAATTTGACTTACTCTTTTCCTAATTGAATACCCTTTATTTCCTTCTCCTGCCTAATTGCCCTGGCCAGAACTTCCAACACTATGTTGAATAGGAGTGGTGAGAGGGGGCATCCCTGTCTTGTGCCAGTTTTCAAAGGGAATGCTTCCAGTTTTTGCCCATTCAGTATGATATTGGCTGTGGGTTTGTCATAGATAGCTCTTATTATTTTGAGATATGTCCCATCAATACCTAATTTATTGAGAGTTTTTAGCATGAAGGGTTGTTGAATTTTGTCAAAGGCCTTTTCTGCATCTATTGAGATAATCATGTGGTTTTTGTCTTTGGTTCTGTTTATATTCTGGATTACATTTATTGATTTGCATATGTTGAACCAGCCTTGCATCCCAGGGATGAAGCCCACTGGATCATGGTGGACAAGCTTTTTGATGTGCTGCTGGATTCAGTTTGCCAGTATTTTATTGAGGATTTTTGCATCAATGTTCATCAAGGATATTGGTCTAAAATTCTCTTTTTTGGTTGTGTCTCTGCCCAGCTTTGGTATCAGGATGATGCTGGCCTCATAAAATGAGTTAGGGAGGATTCCCTCTTTTTCTGTTGATTGGAATAGTTTCAGAAGGAATGGTACCAGCTCCTCCTTGTACCTGTGGTGGAATTCGGCTGTGAATCCATCTGGTCCCGGACTTTTTTTGGTTGGTAAGCTATTGATTATTGCCACAATTTCAGAGCCTGTTATTGGTCTATTCAGAGATTCAACTTCTTCCTGGTTTAGTCTTGGAAGGGTGTATGTGTTGAGGAAATTATCCATTTCTTCTAGATTTTCTAGTTTATTTGCATAGAGGTGTTTATAGTATTCTCTGATGGTAATTTGTATTTCTGTGGGATCGGTGGTGATATACCCTTTATCATTTTTTATTGCGTCTATTTGATTCTTCTCTCTTTTCTTCTTTATTAGTCTTGCTAGCGGTCTATCAATTTTGTTGATCCTTTCAAAAAACCAGCTCCTGGATTCATTAATTTTTTGAAGGGTTTTTTGTGTCTCTATTTCCTTCAGTTCTGCTCTGATATTAGTTATTTCTTGCCTTCTGCTAGCTTTTGAATGTATTTGCTCTTGGTTTTCTAGTTCTTTTAATTGTGATGTTAGGGTGTCAATTTTGGATCTTTCCTGCTTTCTCTTGTGGGCATTTAGTGCTATAAATTTCCCTCTACACACTGCTTTGAATGTGTCCCAGAGATTCTCGTATGTTTTGTCTTTGTTCTCGTTGGTTTCAAAGAACATCTTTATTTCTGCCTTCCTTTCATTATGTCCCCAGTAGTCATTCAGGAGCAGGTTGTTCAGTTTCCATGTAGTTCAGTGGTTTTGAGTGAGTTTCTTAATCCTGAGTTCTAGTTTGATTACACTGTGGTCTGAGAGACAGTTTGTTACAATTTCTGTTCTTTTACATTTGTTGAGGAGTGCTTTACTTCCAACTATGTGGTCAGTTTTGGAATAGGTGTGGTGTGGTGCTGAAAAGAATGTATATTCTGTTGATTTGGGGTGGAGAGTTCTGTAGATGTCTATTAGGTCCACTTGGTGCAGAGCTGAGTTCAATTCCTGGGTATCCTTGTTGACTTTCTGTCTCGTTGATCTGTCTAATGTTGACAGTGGGGTGTTAAAGTCTCCCATTATTATTGTGTGGGAGTCTAAGCCTCTTTGTAGGTCACTCAGGACTTGCTTTATGAATCTGGATGCTCCTGTATTGGGTGCATATATATTTAGGATAGTTAGCTCTTCTTGTTGAATTGATCCCTTTACCATCATGTAATGGCCTTCTTTGTCTCTTTTGATCTTTGTTGGTTTAAAGTCTGTTTTATCAGAGACTAGGATTGCAACCCCTGCCTTTTTTTGTTTTCCATTTGCTTGGTAGATCTTCCTCCATCCCTTTATTTTGAGCCTATTTGTGTCTCTGCACGTGAGATGGGTTTCCTGAATACAGCACACTGATGGGTCTTGACTCTTTATCCAATTTGCCAGTCTGTGTCTTTTAATTGGAGCATTTAGTCCATTTACATTTAAAGTTAATATTGTTATGTGTGAATTTGATCCTGTCATTATGATGTTAGCTGGTTATTTTGCTCGTTAGTTGATGCAGTTTATTCCTAGCCTTGATGGTCTTTACATTTTGGCATGATTTTGCAGTGGCTGGTACCGGTTGTTCCTTTCCATGTTCAGTGCTTCCTTCAGGAGCTCTTTTAGGGCAGGCCTGGTGGTGACAAAATCTCTCAGCATTTGCTTGTCTGTAAAGTATTTTATTTCTCCTTCACTTATGAATCTTAGTTTGGCTGGATATGAAATTCTGGATTGAAAATTCTTTTCTTTAAGAATGTTGAATATTGGCCCCCACTCTCTTCTGGCTTGTAGAGTTTCTGCTGAGAGATCTGCTGTTAGTCTGATGGGCTTCCCTTTGTGGGTAACCCGACCTTTCTCTCTGGCTGCCCTTAACATTTTTTCCTTCATTTCAACTTTGGTGAATCTGACAATTATGTGTCTTGGAGTTGCTCTTCTTGAGGAGTATCTTTGTGGCGTTCTCTGTATTTCCTGAATCTGAATGTTGGCCTGCCTTGCTATATTGGGGAAGTTCTCCTGGATAATACCCTGCAGGGTGTTTTCCAACTTGGTTCCATTCTCCCCGTCACTTTCAGGTACACCAATCAGACGTAGATTTGGTCTTTTCACATAGTCCCATATTTCTTGGAGGTTTTGTTCCTTTCTTTTTATTCGTTTTTCTCTAAACTCCTCTTCTCGCTTCATTTCATTCATTTCGTCTTCCATCACTGATACCCTTTCTTCCAGTCGATTGCATCGGCTCCTGAGGCTTCTGCATTCTTCACGTAGTTCTCAAGCCTTGGCTTTCAGCTCCATCAGCTCCTTTAAGGACTTCTGTGCATTGGTTATTCTAGTTATCCATTTGTCTAATTTTTTTTGAAGTTTCTAACTTCTTTGCCATTGGTTTGAATTTCCTCCTATAGCTCGGAGTATTTTCATCGTCTGAAGCCTTCTTCTCTCAACTCGTCAAGGTCATTCTCCGTTCAGCTTTGTTCCGTTGCTGGTGAGGAGCTGCGTTCCTTTGGAGGAGGAGAGGTGCTCTGCTTTTTAGAGTTTCCAGTTTTTCTGCTCTGTTTTTTCCCCATCTTTGTGGTTTTATCTACTTTTGGTCTTTGATGATGGTGACGTACAGATGGGTTTTTGGTGTGGATGTCCTTTTCTTTTTGTTAGTTTTCCTTCTAACAGACAGGACACTCAGCTGGAGGTCTGTTGGAGTTTGCTAGAGGTCCACTCCAGACCCTGTTTGCCTGGGTGTCAGCAGCGGTGGCTGCAGAACAGCGGTGGCTGTAGAACAGTGGATTTTGGTGACCCGCAAATGCTGCTGCCTGATTGTTCCTCTGGAAGTTTTGTCTCAGAGGAGTACCCAGCCCTGTGAGGTGTCAGTCTGCCCCTACTGGGGGGTGCCTCCCAGTTAGGCTGCTCGGGGGTCAGGGACCCACTTGAGGAGGCAGTCTGCCCGTTCTCAGATCTCCAGCTGTGTGCTGGGAGAACCACTGCTCTCTTCAAAGCTGTCAAACAGGGACATTTAAGTTTGCAGAGGTTACTGCTGTGTTTTTGTTTGTCTGTGCCCTGCCCCCAGAGGTGGAGCCTACAGAGGCAGGCAGGCCTCCCTGAGCTGTGGTGGGCTCCACCCAGTTGGAGCTTCCCTGCTGCTTTGTTTACCTAAGCAAGCCTGGGCAATGGCAGGCGCCCCTCCCCCAGCCTTACTGCCGCCTTGCAGTTTGATCTCAGACTGCTGTGCTAGCAATCAGCGAGACTCCGTGGGCGTAGGACCCTCCGAGCCAGGTGCAGGATATAATCTCCTGGTGTGCAATTTTTTAAGCCCATTGGAAAAGCGCAGTATTGGGGTGGGTGTGACCCGATTTTCCAGGTGCCATCTGTCACCCCTTTCTTTGACTAGGAAAGGGAACTCCCTGACCCCTTGCACTTCCGAGTGAGGCAATGCCTCGCCCTCCTTCGGCTGGCACACGGTGCGCTGCATCCACTGTCCTGCACCCACTGTCTGGCACTCCCTAGTGAGATGAACCCGGTACCCCAGATGGAAATGCAGAAATCACCTGTCTTCTGTGTCACTCACGCTGGGAGCTGTAGACCGGAGCTGTTCCTATTCAGCCATCTTGGCTCCACCCCAAAATGATTCTTAATATCTGGATGCAGTGGGCTGAATAATGGACTCCAAAGATATCCAAGGCCTAATCCTAGAACCTGTTAGTATTACCTTATATGGCAAAGGACATTTTGCAGATATGATGAAGTTAATGATCTTGAGATGGGGCGATTATCTTGGGTTATCTGGATAGGTGTTAAATGCAATCCCAGCATCTTTATAAGAGGAACACAAAGGGAGGTTTGACTGTATGAAAGAAGAAGAGGTGATGCAACCACAGAGGCAGAGCTTGGAATGATGCAGCTACAAGCCAGGGAATGCTGACGGCCACCAGAAGCTGGAAGAAGTGAGAAACATGTCTCCCCCAGGGTCTCCAAAGGAGGGCATCCTGGCCACCACCGAGATTTCAGCCCAGTGAAATGGATTTTGGTCTTATGGTCTCCAGAAATATGATAGAATAAAACTCTGTTATTCTGAAGCACTAAGTTTATGATAATTTGTTAATGCAGCTGTGGGAAACTTACACACTGGACAGCAGTGGAAGCTAGAAGTCAGTGCCATATTACTTTCCATGTCTAAGAGAAAATAGTAGTCGACTTAGAATTATATCTTTCAAGAGTGAGATAAAAATAAAGGCATTTCCCAGCAAACAAAAACTGAGTTTATCACCAACAAACCCAAATTAAAGGAAATTCTCAATCATATACTTCAGGAGAAGGAAGATGACCCCAGATATAAGGTCTGAGGTCTCTAAAAGAAGCCTTACCAATAAACTAATGAATATTGGTTACATAGATAAATATTGGCTGTATCAAACAATAGAAATAATGTGTAATGGGAAAATACAAAGAAAGATTGAATTAAAATACTGGAGGTTTTTAGCGTGTTAGTTGGGATAATGGTGATTGGAAGTAAACATTAAAGAAGAGAGTAAAAATACTGATTAACTTCACACTTTATTAGATATGCATATTAAAATATCTAGCATAACCAATAAAAGATAACATAGAAAACATAACTGCCAAGGGTAGGTAAATAAGTAAAGATAGGAAACAAATCATTTTAAAGGGAAACAAACAAGGAATAAAGAGAAAACTCCAAAATGTATAATATAAATAATGTTATAGAAATCAATCCAAATATATAAATAATCATAATGAATATAAATGGATTGAAATTTCTACTAAAAATTCAAATATGGATGTAAAATATCTAGTATATTAGGTTTACAGGCATTCCAACTAAAATGTGAGACAGAGAAAGACTGATGGCAAAGAGATGGAAAACGTTAGAGCAGGCAGATGCTAACCAAATAAAACTCATGTAGCTATATTAATATCAGACACAATAGACCATAAGGCAAGATGTGTTACTAGAAATAAATAGGGTATCTATATGATGGTAACATTTAATTCAGCAAGGGCTGTCTTTCTATACTGTGTGTAACGAATAAAAAAACCCCCTGGCCAGGCACGATAGCTGACACCTGTAATCCCAGCACTTTGGGAGGCCGAGGCGAGTGGATCACCTGAGGTCGAGTTCAAGACCAGCCTGACCAACATGGTGAAACCCCGTCTCTACTAAAAATACAAACAAAATAAAAATAAAAATAGCCAGGCGTAGTGGCATGCGACTGTAGTCCCAGCTACTCAGGAGGCTGAGACAGGAGAATTGCTTGAACCCGGGAGGTGGAGGTTGCAGTGAGCCGAGATTGTGCCACTGCACTCCAGCCCAGGAGACAGAACGAGACTCTGTCTCAAAATAAATAAATAAATACATAAAATAAAATAACATAACCCCAAAATATATTAAAAATAGCCAATATTCAAAGAGAAATACACAGATTTTTAATGGACCTAAAAATGACCATTGACACCAACAAATGAACAGTGAATGCACATGAAACGTTCATGTAGTACAAACTGACCACACGGTAAGCTACAAAGCCAGCCTTTCCACAAAGAACCAAAGTTAGATGGGTTTGTAGCCTGGTTCTAACAAACATTCCTGAACGTGGAGAAGATACCCGTAGCAGGTGACAAAGGCTTTGTATCTAGAATAAAAAAATATATTCCCACAAATTAACATGCAAGAGAACCAACTCAGTGGAAATTGGACAAAAGCACAAATGCAGGAAAGGCAATACAAATGATTCATAAGTGTATAAAAGATATTCAACCTTATTAAGAATTAGGGAAGTGAAAATAAAATTTAACAATGCTCCAATGCATACTTACCAGACTGTCAAATATTAGGAAGTCATACAATATCAGGTGTAGGCAAGGAGGTAGAGCAACAGAAACTCCCTTACCACATATGATTATAACTTTGTAAAACCACTTTATAAAAAGGAAAAATGAAAAAATAGCAAAATATAGAATATAAATAATATGACAGAAATCAACCCAAATATATAAATTTATTTTACACTTTACATAT
Organism: Homo sapiens; assembly: GCF_000001405.40. Taxonomy (NCBI): domain Eukaryota; kingdom Metazoa; phylum Chordata; class Mammalia; order Primates; family Hominidae; genus Homo; species Homo sapiens. Next base: position 85,874,202 of record NC_000010.11, on the reverse strand, counting down.
TTGCTGTTACCTAGTAAATTTGAATATGTTCCTATTTTCTAATCAAGGAACTTTAATTCTAGATATATATCCTAAAGAAATTCTTACTCAAGCACACCAAGACACATGCACAAGACAATGTACATGGAAACTTTGTAAGGGCAAACAAACAAAACAGTCAAATGGTAATCAACAATAGGGTGAATAAATTGTAATATAGTCATACAATGTGATTGTGCACAGCTTTGAAAATGAATAAACTAGAGCTGAGCTGCACCTATCAGCCATGAATCAATCACTAATGCTTAATGTTCAACCAGTGGTTATTAAATGGTGGTGAGTATTGGAATTATCTGGAAAGCTAATGGGGTACCCAGAGACGTTGCTTGTTGAAGTGGGACAGGACTGGAGTTTTGTAATTTTATTAAGTTCCCAAGTGGTACTGATACACAACGAAGTTTGAGAAACAGCGTGTTAGAACACAGTTGCAAGAGGCATACACATTGTTTAGCTTACCCAAAGCTAAACAGAATAAATGAGACTAAACTGTATGTTATTTGGGTTACGCTACACTAATCAGAGCATGATGAAGGCTGCTTCTGTGAGGAGGAAGGAGTAAGCTTTTGAGAAGGAGGCATCCAACCAAGATGTGGGTAATATTTTATTTCTTAGCTTGATGAAAGGCGCACTGAAATCATTTTATTATTCATATTTAATGTATGTAATGTTTGTACATAAGATATATTTCACAATATAAACTTAAAAAGTAATAAAATACAAAAGGCTTATTTTGAGCCCGTGCACTCAGTGAGCATCTGTGTATGATGTGTTACTTTTGTCTGTGCTGCTGACTTGCTGACTTCTAATAGTGTTGTATATACATTATCTTGCTTCTTCTGCTCATTGGCTGCACTACTGGAGGGAATCTTTGCCCAGGACAAAGGGAAAGTTTGTTTTCCAAGAAGCCACTTGGATTGCCCTCTGCACACTTAAGAAGGTCCCGAGGTCGGGGTGTCTCATAGTAGTACAGAGACTGACCTGATGTGTGCAGCCAGGAAATGCAGCCTGGTGTGTGCAGCCTGACATCAGTGAGCAGGGAGTGGATGCATCCCTATACTCACCCCTGTGGCACTACAAGAGACCCAGGAGGACCAACAGGACAAGAGCAGGGCCTGGCATGAAACTTCTAGAACTGACTGATCACACAGGTTTGGGACTTACGCAAGGAGAAAAGTGACCTTTTTAATTGACCCCAAGGAAGTGGGGAAGCTGCTTCTGTGGCTTGTTAGATTCTGATTGCAAATATCTCTGGATTGTACAGTAAGAATAATCCCACAAGTGCAAGGAGGTGGGTAGGAGTACATTGGCAGCCAGCATACATGCTCTGACCCAGAGCACATGGATGAAAACTGGATTAGGGGAAACAGGAAGTTCTGCAAGGTACCTGCAGACCCTCACTGTGAGGAAGACATATGGCAGCTAATGGGTTGGAAAGGGAGCCTTCAAGAATTCCCAGGTGGGTAGAATGGAAAAGAAACAGTGCAGACTAAGGGAGTTGGGGGCAGGGGCTGAGCCCACTTGATGTGGTGGCTGCCCTTGGCCCACTTAGCCACTCACTCCAGGTGCTGCCCCAGGTTGCCAGGGAAAGTGATGGTTGTGTTTACAGAAACGTACTGTGCAACTTTGTAAGTCAACTCCACTACAGATTTCCAGGGTCCTGCTTGGGGTGTAGTGGGGAGAGCTCAGTGCTGCAGATTCTCCCTCCAGAAAGTTGAGGAAGCAGGAGAAGTTTAATCAAAGGACTTCTAGGAAAATGGCCTGTTATTCCTACAGTGCCCTCAGCCATCAAGAGAATATGGGAAAAACGAAAGGCATGAGACACATCCAATTCCTCTTGGAGGTGTACTGGCTCTGATTCTCTCTTTTGTGCATAATTTAAATTAGGGTCTTCATGACCTCCCCAGGTCCTTTATATTCTGTCTTTCAGGTAAAACTAACTAACCTACTCATTGCTTTTTCTTATATTCTTACTTTGTCTCAGATTAGAATGTGATTTCTCTTATTCTGTATCCTGTGTTCGGGGCAGGGCCTTGGTCACCAAGGCAGCTAAGAGCAGAGCTGAGCATGCACATCCAGGCTCAGCTGTGCCCTCTGCTCCCCTCCCTGAAGCCCAGCTGTGTTCTAGGCCCATTCCATCTGGTAGTCCTGAGATATGGACATTGTCAATTTCCCCACCTTTGACTGTCTGTCGGTTCCAATCTAATAAAATCATCTTCCCTTGAACAGACTTTTGTCTGAAATACAGTTTAGTAGTTTAAACCCAAATCCAATATGTAATAGCATTTGAGTTCTTTTGAAATCCCTGTAATTCAGTATATTTAGGAAATATTAATTATCCTAAAAGGATACAATCCTTAATATTTTACTTTCTCCCAGACCCAGCACCCAGTTTCAACTGACCAGGCTTCACACACATATCAGCTTCTTAAGACAGTTTCTGAAATACATTGTTTACCATCTTACCCTTAAAAATGTTATGTTCTTGTTTAAATGATTTTGAAACCCTCATCACTAATTCCCAACCTCATTAGCTTCCTTTTTACCATCATATTGTCTCAAAGCTAGAATGTGTCACATGCAAGGAGAAAGATTTAAGACTTATTTCAAAATGTAGCTATTTGTAGTTAAAATTTTGTCTTGTAATTTACCGCTGACTTAGTCCCTTCTTAGAAAGAGTGAACCAGAGCTTTTCTTAACCTGGCTAGCCCTCTCTTCCATCACTGAAATTGTTGGCTTATACAGGCTGACTTATCCTGACTTAGAATGGTTTGACTTACAATTTTTTGACTTTACAATGGCATGAAAATGATACACATTCAGTAGAATACCCAGTTTAGTACCCATAAAACCATTCTGTTTTTCACTGTCAGTACAGCATTCAAGAAATTCTGTGAGATATTCAACACTTTATTATAAAATAGGCTTTCTGTTGGGTGAGTTTGCCCAACTGTAGGCTAACGTGAGCATTCTGAGCAAGGCTAAGCTGCGATGTTCGTCGGCTAGGAGGATTAAATGCATTTTTTATTTATGATATTTTCAACGTATGATGGGTTTGTCAGGATGTAAGCCCATCTTAAGTTGAGGGGCGTCTGTATGTGTTAGTTTCCATTTTTGTTGTAGTTCCCATGTTGCACACAGCTACAGAGAAGGGTGCTCTCTTCTCTGCTCTCTCCTCCTCCAGTTTTGTTCCTCTCTAATCCTCTCGCCCTACCGCAGTCAGAGATTTTCAAAAATGTAAATCTATGGCTTGTTTGAGCCCAGATCCTTTCAAGAGCTCCTTGTCTCCCTTAATATTAGCATTTTGTGGGGTGTACTGACCCTCTGTTCTCCCATCTGGCCCTGAATGGGGCTCTAGCCCTGCCACTGACCACTGTTCCTTCTGCCCCACAAGCATTCCCTGCAGGGGACCAGTTGCTCTGTCCCTCCCCAGGTCATCTAAGGCTTTAGCATTTCACACTCCCTGCTGCCTCTACCCTCTACCTGGAACAGGGAGCTATTGGCAGCTCCCTCCACCTTCCTTCCACAGCACCACCAACTCCTCAACTGCAACTGTGCCCTGCCTACCAGCGGCACTTTGGCTAGCAAGTTTCTCCTCCAGAACTTGTTAGCCAGAAACAAAATCTGTATTAGTCAGGGTTCTCTAGAGGGATAGGACTAATAGGATAGAAGTATATATGAAAGGGAGTTTATTAAGGAGTATTGGCTCACACGATCACAAGGTGAAGTTCCACAATAGGCTGTCTGCAAACTGAGGAGCCAGTCTGAGTCCCAAAACCTCAAAAGTAGGGAAGCCACAGTGCAGCCTTCAGCCTGTGGCCGAAGGCCTGAGAGCGGCTGGAAAATCGCTGGTGTAAGTACAAGAGTCCAAAAGCTGAAGAACTTGGAGTCTGATGTTCACAGGCAGGAAGCATCCAGCACGGGAGAAAGATGGAGGTTGGAAGACTCAGCAAGTCTGCTCTTTCCAGCTTCTTCTGCCTGCTTTATTCTACCTATGCTGGCAGCTGATTAGATGTTGCCCACTGAGATTGAGGGCGGGTCTGCCTCTCCCAGACCACTGACTCAAATGTTAAAATCCTTTGGCAACACCCTCACAGACACACCCAGGAACAATACTTTGCATCCTTCAATCCAATCAAGTTGATACTCAATATTAACCATCACAAGTCCACCCCTTGTCAGATTCCTCATGGAAGCCCTGTTCTGGAAAGAGCTCCTGTGGTCTCCTCCCCCTGCTATTTCTATGCTCCACAGTGGATCATACCAGGATGGGATGTTGTGAGCACTAAATAAGCTAATGTGAGCAAAGGGCTTTTTGTAGTCAATATAGACAGCACATAGGTTTCCTTAGCCCTGGAACTTGGCATAATCCATCCTAGGATGCCCATGAGATTTATGGGACAGGATAGGGCCTGATTTTTTTCTGGCTGTATCCACAGTGCTTAGTACAGAACAAACTTCAGAGATATAGGTAGATTTTGTGGAATGAATAGTGAATAAATGAATGGATATATTCTCAAAATTCGTGTGCAAATATTTTGTAAAATGAATGTAATTCTGGAAGAATTCATGGAAACTCATTGTATATTGATCAACTATGGCAGAGAAACCCAGCTTTCCTTGTCAGAATCAGGTAGGTGACTCCCAAAAGGAAAGTTAGCCTTTCTGTCTTGCTAATGTCTACCATGACCTTTTATGGCATTAGTTCCTAAAAGCTTCACACCTGTGGAAACCAGTGCACCAGTGGTTTAGTCTCAAACGTCTTTTTCTAGCCTTCAGGGAAAATGTTGACTAATCTTGTTTGCCTCTAAGGGATAGCAAGTATTATTTGTGAATAAGCAACTAATGAACTGTGTGACCTGGGCCCAATCCCTTGCCCTCTTTGGCATCAGCTTTTCAGGCTGCTGGCCTAGATGCCTCCTGATAGGTCTCTTGCAGAGATAGTTCATGAGTGGATGGTAAGCATGGGCCTGGTTATTTTTCTAGGAAATCAGTGACCCGGAGATCCTGGATCTGGTCCATAGTGCCCTTGGAAGGATGACCGTGGTCCGGCAAATCTTTCCGTCTGCAAAGGACAATCAGAAATGCACGAGGAACAACCACCGCATCTCCTCCCTGCTCTGCGACCCCCAGGAAGGCTACCTCCAGATGCTGCAGGTCAGTGCTCAGCCTCTTCTCTCCAGTCCCCTCCACCAAGAGTCTCACCCACACCCTTGGCCAAGGGAGACATGTGGGGGCCTCCTATTGCCACCAACTTCAATTACTAGAGCTCTGTCATTTGTTGAAATTGAAACCGGTTGACTGGGCAGTGTCTCTGAACAGCACGAGCAGGCAATTATGCCTGTTGTCAGCAGACAGGGCTTATTGGCTCACCGGGTGTCTCTGGTATTTAAAAGTCACATGCATAGAGGGTAAAGAGATTCCTGTCTCTTATGTCTCTGTGATGACTTCTTTGTGGGAATGTGTTCATCTGGCAGGGCTGGGGGTGGAGTCTTCTTTGGGAAGTGATCATTTTGAACCTGTTTTAGGTTCTTGTTAATATAGACACGACCCTTGCAAAGCAAGATGGGACTATCCCAGCACATTGGCTGAGTGCTGAGGCTTGGGTCACCCAGGACACTGTTGGATGCTCAGCTGAGCAGGGAGGGGCAGGACAGCAGGACCATAACATGGAACCCCACCCGCATGGTTCCTTCCAAGGCCCAGAGGTACCAAGTGTTTCTGGTCAGTCCTTCAACCCTAAGTATGTGCAGTCGGCACTAGCTTGTCTTGGGCCTTGGAATACGATGGAGAGCTATGTGCCTAGTGTAAGAGGTGGTTTCTCTCTGGGTGTTTGGGAGCAACAGGGAAGTAGTGTGGAGAGTACCCACTGGCAGCCTCAAATCCACTTCTAGGTTAGGAATGTGGTGCCTCAGAAAACTTTCACTGATGCTTAGTGAGAGCACCAGGACAGAAGGAAATTTCTTCCACTTGGGTTTGTGGAAATTGCACAGAAGTTTGTACATGTGATATGCTTGCCATTCAGCATTTGAAACTAGTTCCACCATCTTTACCCAGCCAGGCATGAGGGTTAGAAATTGGGGTTGCAGAACAGAGACGGCTGTATCTGCCACCTGAGTATCAGCCCCACCCCATAACATTTTGCTCTCACTGTATCAGGGGCTGCACATTTTGTGGAAGGGAATTTGTGGAATCTTGAGTAGGGTGTGGACATGTGTCAAATTTGCCAAAGGAATGAATCTACTCTATAATCTCATATGTGGAGAGAAAAAGGAAACATGCCTCAACGGATGGTAAACATGAGAAATGTTTTCTTGGTTGAGGTGGAAACACAGCAGACATTGATTTTAGCTGGAATAATCCCCATTCCACTAGTGTCTGTGCTCCAGGGAGCCCACCAGAGTGTCTGGGGTCTTTCTAAGGCGGTGGAGGGGTGGCCAAGAGAGTGGACCCAAGGCCCCCGCATCACTCATGGACTCAAGAGCCCTGGACACCCGAGTCAGAGTGAAAGGCAAGAGTTTACGTTGAGATGCTGCTGGTTTATTCTGCCTTCCTGTATGTGGAGTCTGGAAGAAATGGCGAAGGCCAAGTAAGTTCCTCTCACTGTGCCTCTGTAGTCATGATTCCCAGCCTCCATGTGGGTGGAAATGGCCTTAAACAATGGGGCTCAGGGAGTGTGTGCCCATTCCCACCCAGTGCAGCGGGAGAGGGGAATCCCTTTGCTCTCTGTGGGGCCAGAGCCTGTGAGGGTCTCACTCCCTGCAGGGTCTTTCTAGCTTCTCTCTCCTTTGAAGGGCTTCCTCCCTCCCCAAATACATGGCACCCTTGCCTCATATGCCCTAAATCATTCTCTAGGTCTTAGTTAAACTGCACTCAGTCTCCTTGAAGAACAAAGATGGGGCCACTTTCCATGGCACAGAAGTGTCTGCAAAGGTTAGAGCAGGGGAAAGAAGAAAGTGCTTCTTGTTGAGGCCTGTGATGCCCCCTTTTGCTGTGGGTGAAAGGCGCAGGTGGGCCCTTTGGTTGCATATCAGACACATTGGATGCAAAAAGTCTTTTCACTGGAGGAGAGAGAAAGAGAGACTGAGGGGTTCAAAGGGGAATCTAGCTGAGGGCCTACTTAAATGACACGTGCCCATGGAGAGGAGAAACAAAGGCACAGCTCCCAGATATGTGGCCGGACATCATCAAATGAGGTAAATGCAGTGTCAGATCCAGGAACCCTGGGACACTATGCCTCCCTCTGTTCCTGCTGAGACCCAGGCATTGCATAAAGAGCAACGCTGAAGTGCAACACTACAGGAATCTTGTAGTAATAGCAGCAACAGTAAAAGAGGAATCAAGTCACCTGGGTTCAAATCCTGATAACTCTAGTTACTAGCCAATTATTTCATTATTATTATTTGTTTATCATTCTGCGCCTCAGTTCCCTCCTCTCTAAATTGGGGGTTAGAATATTATCCCCCAGAGTCATAATTAAAATTAAATCGGAGAACATACGGAAAGCATTCAGTTCAGAGCTGGCTATTAGCAGTACAGTTGAGTATCTCTAATATGAAAATCCGAAATCTGAAGTACTCTGAAATCTGAAATTTTTGAGTGCCAAAATGACACTAAAAAAAGTGCCCATTGGGGTATTTCAGATTTTGCATTTTTGGATTAAGGATGCTCAACTGGAATTGGAATATAATGCAAATATTTCAAAATCTGAAAAAAAAAAATCCCAAATAAAAACACTTCTTGTCCTAAGCATTTCAGATATGGGATACTTAACCTATTATCATCATTACTGTGGAGGTGGACAGGTACATTCAGGGTTTCCATGGAAAGGGTGAACATAGCCTTTTTTTTTTTTTTTTTTTTGGTGTGATTTAGTCTACCTATCTCCAAGCATGCTTTTTAAAGGCATCACTGCAGGTGGGAGGGCAGTTTCTATCTTTCCAGCCCCTTATCACAGGCTTTGTGTACCACTTACTGTCCACATCTCTCCCATGGGTACTCAATCATAGCTTCCTTGCTTGGGAGATGAGAGGCTTTGTATTTTAGGCTCATGTAGTTCTTTATACAAGGCCACAAGACCCTGCTCATTGAAGACCCTTGATAAGGAATTAAAGGATGAATCTATTAAGAATGCAGGTCTCAGTACAAGTTAAACTGACCCTAGATGCCTCTCTCTCTCTCTCTCTCTCTCTCTCTCTCTCTCTCTCTCTCCATATATATGTGTATATATATATATATATATATATATATATATGTATATATGTAAAACACTTTATTAAAGGAATCTCTGTCTCCATTTGTTGCATCTGCTTCCTTGCAAGGCGGTATCATGAGAGGAAAATGTGGATTTATGTATTCATCCTGCCCAACAACTACTTGGGCAGCTGGTAGATTCATCTCATTTACAAGCCATTCCCTTCCAGTTTCCTCCATAGCTATTACCACTTCTTTCTTTCTTAATGACAGTGTGGAAGGCAAACTAATTTCTACTAGCCTCTAGCTGTGAGATTTATCGAGAAGACTCTAACATGTTTAGAACAACTCAAGGAAAAAAAAAATTATGTCATGGATTATTAACTTTGTCTTGATGAAATTAGTGAAGATCCTTTTGGAAATGGAGCTCTCCAGTCCATCTTTCTTCCCCCCCACCAAATGGCTGCTCTTGGGAAGATCATTCTGGTTTAGAAGTTTCTGGGAGGACCAAGAAGAACAGGGAATTTTTGCAAGAGTATCCATCCCTTAGCTTCTCTATTGAGCTGGCCTCAGAAACTCTGTCATCCTCTATGAGGCTTGTGGTCAGGGCTTTCTGTGCTCTAAAGCCAACCAAGAACTATTATAGCAAATCAGTTTGGTTCCTATTTAGCAGAAGGAAAGTCCCTGGGAAGAAAAATACCTAAATATGTGACCCCTAGTGCTCCAAAAGCTTTGCATTTGCCAGCATGCAGCACTGTTGTTTATTTTTCCCCACAAAGCACTGTCTTATTTGTGTGTTTTTGATTCTTGTTTCCTTGACAAGTTAGTTTAGGACTTGTCTGACTCAGCCAGTAATAAAAGTGATAACCAGTCCCTCAGAACCCTGAGACTTTGCTAAGATTTCACAGACATCTTTGCTCAGAGGAGAATCTGTAACGTACTCTGTCTCTGGAACTGTACTGCCCTGTGACATCAGGGCTGCAATTGAAGTAAGAGGCGTATTGTCACATAGCCATCCCCCCATTTATATTCAAATGTGTTTCTAAGGGGTGACAGGCAAATGATGTAAACTGTGTTGTGTGGTCACTGTGGAGCCGGATCCCTGAATTAAGCTTTGGGGGCTAATGTGGTATTACCATAAAATGCTCCCTCAGGTTGAAATTTCTCTTCTTTGTGCATTTTAAAATTGTCGAATGGCTTGATTGAATCATTCCTCCTCTGTGCTGCACACACTCTATTAGAGGATTTCAACCCCTCTCCCTCTAACATCCCTATTTTTTAGGGTTTTCTGTACTCTTCCATGGCTAAAAGGTTTTTGTCAACCTGTTGGTAGAAGCTTGTCCTCTGGAGCTTCACTGAGCCTCCCCATACCAGCTACCTTGGATTTCATGTCACTTTCAATGGTTTACTTAGCCCTAAAAACCCATATGGGAGCATTTAACATGGAGAGTGGGGAAGGCTTTGTCGGAGACAATTGCGCAAGTGTTCTCCTTGGCTGCAACTGGCTGCTATTCTGGCTGCAGGCAGCCATGTGTGCATTTGGAGCCCAGGAAGCCTTGGGTGTGGACAGATAGCCCTCTTCACTTTCACACCGTCGCCTCAGATTCAGCAGTGAGTGGAGCTCCCTGCATCCACTGTGCCCTCTCTTACCATCTGCTTCCTCCTGAGGCTTGGCTGTGGTGCCCTCTCCCAGGACAGCTGGACTGGCAGCAGTTTGGCAGAGACTACACCTGGCATGGATTTCTCAAGCTGTGACATCTGGGTGTCAACTTGTCCTCCCCGCTGATCCCTCTGTCAGCTGCTTGTCTAACTTTGCCGGCCAACCACAACCTGTCTGAGGATTTGGTCAGAGGTCAGTTCCTACTGTTTGCCTCTGTGATGTCTCACTGAACTGTCCACTTTGCTTGATTAATGACAGAGGGAAGAGAAAGCTGGGTTCTTCAGAAGCCTGGAGGAAATGCAGCCTTTCTTAATGAAAACATTTTCCACACTTCCAGCTTTGGTGTTGGGAGGATAATGGTCTGGTTCTGACCCTGGCCTGTGATTCATCTTCCTTCTCCTCCAAGAATGATTTTTACCTTGATAATGCGGATGCACAACAATTCCCTGGGCCCCAGAGCATAACAAATACTAGGCTGGAATACCCTAATAAAACGTGACTGAAGTCTCAGACTTACTACAGAGAAGGCATGTGCTGCTGCCAGGAAGGCAGATAGCCTGGCCACCCGGCAGGCACACCCTCCTGTCCTCCAGGGGCCTCTCCCCCACTGATAGGGGCAGAGGTCTTAGCTGGATCGACCTGGCAGCCTGCAGCACTCCTGAGGAGCTCAACACACTTCATGGGGGGTTTATATGCTTATTATCTCTGGTCCTGATCCTGCTCCCAGGGACTCAATAACTGACCAGAACACCTGGGCTTCCAATGTGCCTGCCTCTACCCTGCCCAGTGCTTGCCCAGGTGGAAAGTCAGTGCCTTCCTGGTTTCAACAAGACAACAAATTCCCTTCTGCACAAGACATCCACTATGGTCTGGATGTTTGTATCCCTCCAAAATTTCCATGTCGAAACCTAATCCCCAAGGTGACAGTATTAGGAGGTGGGACCTTTGGGAGGTGATGAGGGGGGGAGCCCTCATAAATGGGATTCGTGCCCATATAAGGAGCTGAAGAGACCAGACTTCTCCTCTTCCACTCTGCCAGGGCAAGATGAGAAAGCACCACTTATGAGCCAAAAAGCACGTCCTCACCAGACACAGAATCTGTAGGCACCTTGATCTTGTACTTGCCAGGCTTCAGAACGGTGAGAAGTTAAATTTTTGTTGCTTATAAGCCACCCAGTCTGTGTTTTTTTGTTACAGTGACCTGAGTGGACTAAGGCAGCCTTCGCGTCTCCTCAGGAGCCTCAGAGCCCAGAGCCGGTGTTGTACGCGATGGGGAGTTGGGTGGGGCATTTGCATTGTAGCTGCTCAAGCAGGATTCAGCCTTTGAAGCCCCTCCCCGCTGGGGAATGTGCAGTGTTTCTGAGCACTGCTTCCCTGCCCCCAGTGCTCCATTATCTCCTCATCTTGCTTGCTTCCCTGCCCTCCCTCCATTTCCTCCCTCTGGGTCTTGGTTCCTTATTTTCTCATGAAGATCAATTTAAAGTCTCACTGGTGGCCTTTGCTCCTGCTGCCACAAGGTATTTTCCTAAATAAAATATAGTCACTGATGTAATAGAAATTCTGGTAATAACTTTTTAAAAAATCTATTTTTCCATCCCTGGTCCTCAGTCAACTTCTTGTGACTCATCTCTAATTATCCAGCAGCCGAGAGTGTCCATCTGGGTCTCTCAAGAGCTGCAAGCCCCCAACAAGAGCTCACGGCTGAGTTCTCTCCTGCTTCCCAGAGACGCCTCCTACCTTTCCCATTATCTTTCTGAGGACCCACCTCCTGCATGGGCAACTGATGTTGGAAATTTATACCTTGCCAGGATCCTGCTATCTCAGGGAAATGCATAGCCTGGGATTCTGGTGGGAGATGGCCAATTCTACATTTATTCACACAGAGCTCCCATCTCTTTCCCCAGCAGCCTCTATCCACCACCACTTGTCTTCTAAGAAGAGGCATCTTTTTTGCAAATGCCTTGACATCTCTTTAACTTTATGTTTCTAAGAACATGTTTAAAACTGTTATTCAACTTTCAGTAATTGCATAAATACCCATTTATGCATTTGTTATGCATTTCTTCTTATGTTAGACCTTTCATAAATGTTCCTTCCTAATTCTTATAAACCTCTCAAAATTAGGAATTTTAATTTCCATGTTGTAGCAGGTCCTGATTAGGGAAACTGGCATGTGCACAGGCTCAGAGGCCTGAGAGAGCAGGGGAAGAGTTCACTGTGCCTGGGGCAAGGGGTGAGAGGCAAGAAGTTGGGAAGTAACTTGGAGGGGACAACAGCAACTGGGGCTCTGCCCTTGGTGATGTGATGTGGAAGACGTGTATCTGAGAAAGGCAACTCTGTGCAGTGTGGAAAGGGAGGATCTGAGGCTGGAGACAGGTTAACCAGTGGTTACCATCTCCCTAGGTAAAAATAAGGGCACCTGAACTCCACCCCCAAAATGGGAGGTGACCATTGAGTCCTCACTCAATTGAGTCCTCATCTGGAAGCTTCTCCAGGACTGAAACCCCTGAGCTGGTCAGAGGGTGGAGTGCAGAGCACATGCCTTCCATGGATGCTGGACTGCAGCTGGCCTTTGTTCCAGCCATACCCTGCCTGCCTTCCCCACCTCCCCTGCACACCTCGCTGATCTCATTGCAGAATCCACTGTGCCAAAGGCTCCCGTGGCTGAGCCAGCCTTGCTATGTGAATGTCTGGCCTTTGACTGCAGCAGGCCACACTGTCTCCCTCTCAGGAACCAGAGTCAGGGTATTATAAAGCTTCCCCCTCCACCCTCCACCACACAACACACACTCTCTGAGCCTTCCTGTGTTTGTACCTTTTATGAAACATCCTAGGGGCAGAGAAGTGGCCTTTCCCTTAAAGGGCAGCCCTGCAACACCTCAGATCATGTAGCCCTGAAAGGTGTGGCTCAGACCCTGGGGGCTGTGGCAGCTGTGGCTGTGCTGCTGGGGCCTGGAGGAGGCCAGGGACATGTACACGGGTGCTCAGGTGAGCAGATTTCAGGTGGGACTGGGAATTAATATTCAGTGCTGATTCTTGCTTGATCTCTGACCCTCAAGCTATAGGAGTCAGACATGATCCCTTTGTGCCTTTGGAAGGCTTTAGGGACCCAAGGGGCTTTGTGGGAGAGAACGAGTGGTGTTGGAGGATACAAATGCATTTTCACAGTAGTCCTCATGTTCTGCATCCAGACTGGTGCTGACCCCAGCTTCTGGGGACATCCCTGGAGGAGCTCTCAGCTCATACATATTGAAATCTGGAAGCTGCATAGATATTTTATTTGCCTCTTCTATTCATTTCTGTCTCTGCTCCCTCTAAAGATGAAGATGCATGCAAAGATCTTAGAATAGTACTTGGCACACAGGGGTATTACCATCTGCATTCCACAGGTGGGTAAATCAGGGCTGCCACATTGTACCTCTCCAGGGGCCCAGATCACACTGTATTTTATTGTTATCAAGATAAGTCTCAGAGTGTTCAACAGCTTGTTCAACATCACTCAGCAAATGGATGCTAGTGGAGATCTACTTCACTCGTTCCATCAACATTTATTGAGTGCTTGCTGTATCCACGCACTACTGTGGAGACCTGGGGTCCAGCAGTGAGCAAAGCTGGTCCAGGCTGGAATGAATCCAAAGCTGTTGCTGTTCCTATTAGACCACTTGCCTAAGCTGCAACCCTAGTGTGAGAGTCGTACTGTATGGTAATTAGTGAGAGAAACTTGCCGAAAATCTCTGGAGTGGCTAAATGAAACCATCCAGTCCCTCTTCCAGCTCTCTCCTCACTTACAATAGAGCCCATGAGCTGCCAGGAAGGCCTCAAGCCCTTTTCCTGGCTTCTGTCTGGCCTTGACTTCACTCCCTCTAGCATCTCTGACCTGGCTCCAGGTATTTTGCTTTGCAGCCAGGTCTCTCCTCTGCCATGCCCATGGCCTTGACACTCTGACCTCTCTTTTGCTTCTCAAATTTACTCTTACCTGGAATGCTTTTTTGGTTCCTGGAATTTTATGCTGCAGTGTTCCTAGGTCACCCAGAGCCCTGGGCTCCTGCTTGCATGGGGATGAGTGTTTAAATAGTGACAGCATCTGCTTGCTTGCCTTACCTTTGCTAATGGACTCTGTACTGTGCATAACCTACAATATGAGGGAGGGAGGCAAGGACTTCTCCAAGCCGGGCCTCATTCTCTGCACCTGTGGCCTGTGACTCCAGCCTGGGCTGTTGGCCCCTGGTGGTCAATGACGAGTGAGCATCCATGCATCTGGGAGCCTCTCTCCTTCCAGACTTCCTTCTCAGGGGCTTGGCATGACCAACCCTGACACTGATATCCAGCCATCTTCCCTGAGGAAAGGCTTCTTTTATGTTTATCAGGCTCTGGAGAGGGCCCCAAGCATAAACTGCCTTTCTACCATCTACTTGTGATTTTTTTCATCCAAGAATCCCTTCTCTGAATAGGTTGTGAGGTTAGGGCCTTTCCTACCCTCCGCATCCCCACCAGTGAACTGTCAGCTAAAGTCAGTTTGCACAAAGTAGGTCGTCTCAGTGAGGATGCTGAGGTTGGAGAGAAGATGGGGGAGCCACAGATTATTACTGCAGTGTTAGATTATGCCCAAGGCAGGGAGAGACAATATCTTACCAGGGAAGAGTTAGGAGTAAGTGGAGTAGATGGAAACAGCTCCATGGGAAGATCAAGAAGATGTTTTGAGGAGGTTTTAGACAAGAACAAATTGCTGTTTGAACAAAGGAGGCTCTGTCCAAAGTCAAAGTTGGAGGGATAAAATCTCTTTTATCTGCTATCCATTTTCTATAATTTCTCTTTTTTGTAAAACATGGTTAGTGTATGCCTTCTGAGAAAATCCATCCATCCATCAATCACTCCATGCATCCATCCATCCATCCATCCGTCCATCCATCCATCCATCCATCCATCACTTCATCACTCCATCCACCCATCCATCCATCCATCCATCCCTCCATCCATTACTTCATCCATCCATCCATTTACCTATACATCTACACACTCATCTATCCTTCCATTTGTGCATACATGTGTCTACCATGTGTTCGGCCATGAAACATACATTAAGCACCAGCTATGTGCTTTGATTGGTGCTGAGTTCTAGAGATAGTACTTAAAGAGCTCAAAGTTTGCTGAGATAAACACATTCATGAGCTGGCAACATATATAATGGAAGAGGGGTACATCTAGGGTGATATGTGGGCATTGGGAAGGCCTGCCTATCTATGCCTGGAAAAGAGCATTGCTCAAGCCTGTTCCCATGAACTGGGATGTATTCACCCTTCCAAGCAGACATACTTGTGGGAAGACTGAGGGCTTCCTTTGGCCTTTCTGAGTCATGTCCTGCTTTTTCCTCTTTGTTCAAGACCTCTCTGCATTCATACATTTGTTGAGTACCTTAATTGATTGTGAATAGAAGTGCTGAAGTGAAAGGGAGATTCCACTGGGTTCTGGTCAGAGCCACAGATGCGCTGGTGCTGTGGACTCTGCCCTGATGTGTGAGTGTGTGGATGGGTGGGAGTAGGGGTCAAAGAGACCTGGCTGGTTAAATAGCATCAGCTATCAGTTGGTGGCTGGTAGACCCATGAATGTCTTGAGAAGAGAAATCTTCCCATCGTTAAGGATTCTCAGCTTCAAGTTATTCTCTTGGGAAAAGAAAGAAAAAAACAACAAACCAATTCTAAATGGCTTGTATTCCTTATAACAACATCTCCATCATGGGTTTGTTTTCCAGAGGGGAGGAAGACTTATCAACACATGCAGTGGTGGGGGCTCCTGAGGGCTGGGGAGTTGACAGCAACAAAGAGTGAATTAGTCCTGCTCATTGAGGAAATGCTCCTCTAGGCCTCAAGTGGCTGAGGGCACAGTTCTGTCATGGTGTTCCCTGTGCAGTGAGGGGGTGAGCTCCCAGTGGGTGGTGGTACTTAGTTTTCCCTCTGCTGTCAAGTAAGCTCTTGTGTGCTGCAGGCCCCTGAAGAAGGTCAGACCAGGCACTGACCTTCTACTCCCCCTCAGCTCAAGGCTCTTGCTTTAGCACACTCTTGACACCTCTGCAACATCTGGCCATCCTCCACCTACCTGTTACACCTACAGAATGCAGAGGCCCTAGGCATACAGCCCACAATGGTCAGAGCTGGGGGACAGGACAGTGGCAGACAGGACAGAGCTCTTCAGCAATGGTCTGTGCACAAGGATACCTACAGGGGAGGCAGTCAGCTCTGCCTGGATGTGACATGCTGGGAATGGCCCTTGAGGGCTGGACAGGCATGACGGGGCAGATGTTTGTGATGCCTTGCACCTCCTATTGGCTCATCTCAGACTTCAGCTTCAGTTGCTGGAGAGTTCGCGCCACCTAACTTCTGATCTAAGGTTCTGCTTTTGGAGCACCTGGACTAAGAAACATGAGGAAGTAAATTGCAGGCAGAGAACAAGGCACAGAGGTGTTGTGGTACAGGGACATATTGAGGAGAGTAGGGGTGAGGCTGGGGGAGGAGGGGTTCTTTTTGCAGCCCAAGGAGCCTATTTGATCTTCCCAGGAGTCCTGTGAGGCTGACATGATCTCCTATTTTTATCTGGTGATTTTGTTTTTCTAAAATATTTTTAGCAGACGACTTGCTGCTTAGGCGTTCAGAGAATGGTCCCCTTGACCCACTTTGGCTGAGGGTTGTTTGTGCAACAGTTATCAGTGGGGGGCCACAAACCTGACTGAGGGTGGACGCTACCTCGCCCTCACCGCCTTCCCTTCTCCTCCTCTTCTCCTTTGTGCTCCAATGTCCCCATGGAGGGCTGGGGTGGTGTGAAGGTGACATCCGAGAACAGAGCTGTCCTTCTCCCCCATTGGGCTCCCGCTGGGCCCCTGGGAGGGTGGGTGCCATTTTCTAGCTCCTCCACATCCAGATCGGGGTCTATAGCCACACTCAGGAGGCTGAGCCTGGCCTGCCCACCCTGGACCCCACACATGGGTTGGGCCCCAATGCTGTAGTGTCGTTCTTCACACTTCTACCCTAGATTCTCAGTCATGGCCTTGCCCTCCAGAGCACTGAGACAGGGATGTGTCTCCTCTACCACTGAGCTCACATCAGACAACTAAGCAGAAGGGTGGTCCTCAGATGGGCACAGTTGCAAATCCCAAATGTGTTCCCTGGGTGGCAGTGACTCCACTGCAGAGCAGGCACCAGAATCCTCATCTCTTGTTACCACCGTCCTCACTGTTACCTCGTCACTCAGGCCACCATTCACCCTAGGCGTGTCCGGCGACCAGAGTGGTCTTTCTGAGGCCCAGATCTGATCTCCAGCTTCCTGTACACTGACCCAACAAAGGCGTCCTTCTCCCTACAGTCACCTCTGTTGCTAGTCCTCCTTAGTAAGTCCCTAAGTCTTTGCAGGGCTCAATCCCTGCTTCTCTCTTGATCCTGCTCCCTCTGTATTGTACCCATTGACACAGTCGTCTTGAACTGCTTTCAGTTCCTTTAACCCAAGGATCCGCCAGCGGTGGCCAATAGAGCAAATCCAGTATATTGCCTCTTTTGGAAAATAATGTTTTATTGCACATGGCAGCACCCATATGTTTATATATTGTCTATGGCTGCTTTCAAGTTATAACAGTAGGGTTGAGCAGTTGCAAAAGAGACTACTAAGCCCAAAATCTTTATGAGCTGGTCCTTTACAAAAAACTCTGGTGGACTGTGCTGTACCTGGCCCTGTCTCTTGACACCTTCATGCCCTTGCAAATGCTGTGCCCTCCCTTTATCCTACTAATCCTTCAACGCTGAGCTTTCTGCTTATCCTTCCCTCCATCCTCCCTTACCTGAGTAGGTAACTTACCTGTGTGCACATCTCAATCAGCTACAGATAAGGGTTCTCCTTGTTGATGTACACATGCACATCCCACTCTAGTTCCTGAGGCAGGGCAAGGTCTTATTCCATTCAGGACTCTAGAAGCTGGCTGGGTTTTTGAAAGTACACCTAAAAGCCGAGGATCTTGGCATAGATACTGGGCACCACAGCTTAATGTTGGCATCCTGCATTCCTCCTCCTTTCTGTGGGTTTCTCCAAAGCTCTCTAGAAATGCACCTGTGGAAAGGGTTTCACTGCCTCTGTCTTTGCAGATCTCCAACCTCTATCTGTATGACAGTGTTCTGATGCTGGCCAACGCCTTTCACAGGAAGCTGGAGGACCGGAAGTGGCATAGCATGGCGAGCCTCAACTGCATACGGAAATCCACTAAGCCATGGAATGGTGGGAGGTCCATGCTGGATACCATCAAAAAGGTACGTGTGAGGGGGCACCCCCAACCTGGCCAAAGACAGGCCCCTTCTTATACCTCCACTGTGTTCCCCTCTAGTAGCTGGCCTGAAGCTAGGCTCTGTGTGGCTGCCCCAGTAGGCCCCTCCCCATTCCTCTCTCCTTGTCACTCTTCCTGTCCCAGCATCTGCAGGCCAGGTGAGCTGTGGTCCATGAATACATACTATCATTACTGTCTTCAATTTAATATAAGAACTTCTGAGAGGTTAAGCAACTTGCCCTTGGCTGCAAGTAGGTATGAAATGGAGGCAGCTGCCTATCCCGTGTCTGCAAGGTACCCCTCTATGCAGAACACCACTCCCCAAGAAACGAGTGCACCTGTATGTGCGCTTGTGATGTATCTCATGTGCTGAGGAGGGATACTGAATTAGAAAGCTGGATTTGAAGTGAATTGAGTAATCTATGGATGATTTGTTAGAGTGAATTCACTTTTAGAGGCTTCAAAAGAGCATTTAGGGAAATCCATAGCGTTAGGAATTTAGTCACAATGAATTGCATGTGGTTTCAGTAGCAGGGAACATGCTTTAGTGTAGGTGAGAATCTACTACAGCCCAGGGCAGAGCCAGGGCCCCTTCTGGGCCAGGTGTTTCTGGGACTCTGTAGGGTCACAGGGACTATGAGAGATAAATCTTGATGAGAATCTCACCCTGGGCTTGGAGAGAGAAAGGGGCTCACCACGGCTCCCTCAGCCTCCTGCTGCCTCCTTCTCCTATGAAGCCCACTGAGCCAGTAGAGAGAGGCATGGAGACCACAGCCAGTCTATGCTGGATGCTGTGCTTTGTACATATTTTCTCCTTTAGTCTTTGTGGGTTCTATGATGTGGAGTTAATTAACTTCAGGCCAAAGCTGGGAGATGGGCAATGTGCCCAAGGTGGCACAGGTGGCAAAGCCAGGATCCAAGCTAGGGATCTTGCTGTGCCCTCCAATGCACATGTTTGCTGCCCTGCAACTTACCATCATGTGTCTGATATGTCTCCTGTTGACCTTTGAATTTTCTCTTGGGTTAGGCTAAGGTGAGCCCCTGGAACTGATTGCAAGGGGAGGACTAAGCTTCAAGAGGGCAGGAACAAAAGCTACCAATGTTTAATCTCATGGCTAGCATGGTGCCTGGCACATAGCAGGGACTCTAAGCATATAGATGGTATGAATGACAGGTGCAAGCCTTAGGGATTTCTCCCATAAGCAAATATCCTAGAAAGTACTGATCCTGCTCTGAGGGCCTAGGACCACTAGCCCATCTTGTCCTCATTACAGCCTGTCCATGGTCTCAAAACTGATTGCTCCGTTCTTGGTGACCACTTCCTTGCTCCTCTTAGCCTTTGGGACTCCATCCTCTACCTTAACCAGATTTTCCAATGGGTTTTTCTCCTCTTCTGCAGGGCCACATCACTGGCCTCACTGGGGTGATGGAGTTTCGGGAGGACAGTTCGAATCCCTATGTCCAGTTTGAAATCCTTGGCACTACCTATAGTGAGACTTTTGGCAAAGACATGCGCAAGGTAAGCCTCAGGCTCCCTGTCTTCCAATCTTCCTGCTATGGTGCCACCAAAGACAGCAACAGCTACAGGGTCCCTGAGCTCCCAGCAACTGTTAACTAGCACAGATATCCTCCCTCCTAGTCTCTCTCTGCTGATGCTACCATTGGCTGGTGTTTATAGGGCATGCTAGGGAGTAGGTGCAGAGAGGTTTCCAAACAGAAATTGCCTCTAATGGAGTCTCTTTGAGTAGAGCAGGGGTACCTGGTAACAACTGGGTCCTACTGCTTGGATCAGGGGGCTGCATGGAGGCTATAAAGGACAATGTGTTTTCTCAGAGCAGTGAAATCAGCCCGACCACAGGGACAAGTGTGAATTGTGGTTGAGGCAGGAGGCAGAGGTTACAGCCTGAGTGTCCTCCAGATCCAGGAGTGAGACAAGGCCACAAACAGAAAATGGAGCTGCAAGGAGGGTGGAAATTGGAAAATGCCAGAGGCCAGCGGAAAGATAAATGAGAGACAGAGGAGTTGAACAACTCAGACTGAGGTTTGGCTTTTTTATTTGGTGCTGGTGCTGGTGCAGGTGGCAGCCTGGGTCTTCCCAGTGATACTTTTCCTCTTCTTCCACCTCTTATGGGTGATAGAGAACAGTTTTCAGGACTGTGGATAGTGGAGAGTGGCCTTTTATCCAGGGTGGGGATCCCCAAAGTTAAGTGGACTCATGACACAAAGAGTCTAACAGGGCTAGGACAAAGAGGCCGACATGGCAAGTAAGGGCTTAGAACAATTATCCAAGTGAAGGACCTTGGATGTGGTCACTGTGAGCCAATGTGGAGCTGATGGTGGGTATCCTGGTGTGGTCAGTGGCTGGCTGTCCTGGGCCAGCCCAACTCTACTGGCTTGGATGCACTTCCAGAAATAGCCTGTACAGGAGAGGCCAGAGATGGGACTACTCATGGTGTAGATGGGCCACAGTGGCTTGGTCTTCTCCGGAAATAATGAAAGCATTGACTGATTGGCATGTACTCAGGCACAGCCTCATGTATTCACAGACATGCTCACACACACACACGTACACACTTCACACACTTCGAAGGAAGATGTCTCTACTAATGATGGTGCCTGGAGCATGAAGGACAGTCCTCGCAAGTAATAAGCTCTCAGCAGGGGCTGGATAAGCCCTCAGCAAAGAGCCCTCTAGCCTGATGTCACCATTGGCTAGAAGCAGTGGAGGGAGAGGCAAGGGCTAAATGATGTTGGGGTACTGAGAATCTGGGTGGGGGAATTCTTTGGTTTTGCTCCTGAGGGCCAGGGTAGAAAGATGCATGTGTGGACTGGTGGAGGGTGTGAGAGCTGGGGAACAGGGAGGGAGCCGTGTAGAGCTCATCAGTGACAGATGGGGCAGAAGACAAGCTCCCCAGGGAGAGACTGGGATGGCCTGGGTCCATGTGTGATGTGGGGGATGGTGCGGGGGATTTTTAGCCCACTCTGATGGAGGAGAGAGTCATGGATTGGTCATATAAATAATTGAAGTTTCAATAATTTGTTGTGACACAATATCTGACATACATGGCTTGATGGCATTTTGGAGCTCAGAGGTTTGTTGGTGGCATCCTAGAGGGAGTCGGCTAGCAACTATTCTGTGACTTCCCATGTAGGGCCAGGGTGTGACCTGCAATGTCCAGGAAGCCAGGGCTGGCCTATGATGTCTGTTAGGAATGCCCAAAGCTGTGAGACTTGGTGAGGGGATGGGCATGAGTGGTCAGCATTGGTCTGGGTCATGACCACAAGAGATATGGGCTTGCATTGGGACTCCCACCAGGTAAGGAGGGCTCTTTCAATCACTCTGGTGTGAAAAAGCTTGCCAAGTGTAGCTGGCTGCCAAAATAACTGTTCACATCGACCACGGTCCTGGCGCACTTGCCTTCATCCCCAAGTCTTATTTTGAAGTTAGGTCCTGCCTGCCAGCTCCTTCCGTCTCCCACCTACTTCTTTTGGTGGGAATGCTGGCTGTGGAGGTCCCTGCCTTGTCTCAAGCAGCTGACCCTCCAGTCCTGTGCCTGGCGCCAGGCTGGCCACCTCAGGTGCCTGAGAGAGGGGGAGGCACTATGTCCTCCACTTCCTGTTTCAGGTGTCTGGACCTTCCACGTTGCCAAGGCAATGCGCCTCAAAAACCCTGAAGCCAGTGGGAGCTGGCATCTCTCAATATAAGAAGCTTTGAGCAGGAGGCCTGAATGTAATTGAGTTGGAAGGGAAGCTGATTTTCAAGTCGGCTTTATTTTAAAATGTATCTTTTTGTCATTTTAAAATCTGCCCTTAATAACTGCATATCCTGGTTGTTATCTGTCTGCCTAGCAGCTTATCGCTGCTAAGGGGAAGTTATCTGGAAAGCAGGGAGTGGGATTTACTGTAGCAAATGTTTGTGATTCAGGCCTAGGGTGCATTAAAGCAAGTCCAGGGAGTTTCAGATGAACCAAGGAGAAGGGATTAGGACCGTATCATGGGGGTAGGGCAGCATTTGGAGGCAGAGCTGAGTGGTAGTTTCGGGTGGGAGACGGGGCTGTGAAGGGTGGGGCTGGGAAATCGGGGTAACTTAAAAATAAAGGACATTCACATAAGGGAGAAAAAAATTGAGGATGGGTGGCAAATTTGAGGGTAGGGTCCTGAGCCACACCAAAACAGTGCCAAGATCAGTCATCTAAGGAGTGCCCAAGGTCAGAGTCCAAGGAGTCGCAGCTCTCTTGGCCATGCAAGGTACACAGCTGCTAGAGGAGCCGACTGGGCAGACTCCTAGATCCTGTGATGCTGGGCAGGGGCAGCATTCCCTGCAAAGATTATATATGTCATATATGAACAAAACCAGACACAGACAAAACAGTTTCTTTCAGACTTAAACCAAGAGGAATCATTTAAATTAAGTAGCAAGATATTTTCTTAAATACCCTGGAGGGAAATCTCAGGGATGGTGAGTCACCCAGACATTTTAGATTAAGTGGCATCAAGAGACTGTAGATTACTCAGCCCCTTCATTGGAGGGAAGGAGTGGGTGATCGCCTTTCAACTGCAGGGTGCTGGACAAATACTAATTCAATTATCTCATCCAGGAAGTGCGTTTTTAGTGAGTGAGCTTTGTATGGAAAAATCAAAGGTCTATATCATCAGCTTGCTGTGTAACTACAAGCAAAATATTAATTGTCTGTTTTGTACTTGGAGCTGTCTGGCATGGGTCTGCCACCAGGGGAAAGGTTTGCTGGAAACTCTTCCAGCTCTCACAGGCATTGGCCTGACATTTGTCTTGGGGGTGGGGGGTGGTATATGCTTCTTTTATCCTGTTGGTGTCATGTTTTTTTCAGGGCTCAGAACTGTAACAGGACCTCCACAAATTTCTACTTGGCTTTGTTTCTCTTTGTTCAGACAGGAATCTCCAAAAGAGGATTCCATGAACGTGTCCATGTAAATGTCCTTAGCTCATGATTGAGCTCTGACAGATCTGTCAGGGCCACCTGTAGTTAAGTTTCCAAAGGTGGTGTGTGTGGGAAGCTGCTGGGTGTAGGGAGCGGGCAGGAACTGTTAAGCATCCACAGTATCCAAAAGTGCATTGTACGTATGTTGTCTCATTGACCTGGGCCTTTGCTTTGCTCCTGGCTCTGCCTCTCCTGAGTTTTTGCACAACTTCCCTTTTCTGAACCTTTGTTTCTTCAGAGGAAAGTTACAGGTAATATGAGCCTAATTGTTGGATGGAGGGGTCAGTCAGTGTAATGACACTGTGCAGCACTTGGCAGTGAGAGCATGCTCATATGGCACAGGGCATCAGCTTTGGGCAAATGGGACTGTGTGTTTTCTCTGAGCGTATCTATCTCAGACTCCACAAGAGCAGAGAGGCACAGGAAGGCCTAAAACACAGCCTCCAGCCTGACAGTGCCCTAGACTATAGCTCCAAAGCCAAGGCCAGAGATGGGAGGCTCCCTCTTGCAGCCTTGAGCTGGTGCAGCTGGGATCACTCAGCCCTGTGTGCCAGGGCAGTGCCAAACTCCCCTTCTATGCCTGGCAGCAGATGTCCACTCCATATAAAGACCAAGGGCTGAGAGGGATCTGTGGAACTTCACCTCTGATAAGATTTTATTTTCAGGGCTGTTTTGGTGTTGGTGTAATCATTGCAAGAAGAAAAACATGGTTGTCTTTTTTTTCCTCCACAAGCATGACTTGCCTGGATAGGAGCACTAGTTATAGCCCAGAGGAAACATTTCTCCATGACCTGATTGCTGAAGCTGTTCGCCTTTCTCCATCCTAATGGCACTGGTGTAGGCAACTCATTCTCTTCCACTATCTCCGGGTCCCTTGTGCAGGAAAACCCTGGGAGAATTGCCAACTGCTCGCAGGCCCTTTGAACCTCATTTTCCGTGGGTGGCATCCACCCGATTCAGTGGCTCAGTGGAGGGCAGCAGCTGTCCTTGGGCAGGAGGGTGGGGGAGGTAGACAGGAGCATCTGGGCAGCCTGTGGCTTTGTTTTATGCCTTGCATCCTGGATGAGGGAGACCCTGATGTGGTGTGAGACAACACAGCTGTTTTCTTCTCCTTTCTAGAATCAAGTTAGGACCAAGAGAGGCTGAAGGAGTATTTTGTCCAGGGGGTCAAGCTTTACTCTGGCCCTACAAAGTCTGGTCAAGCAGGATCTTGCTGGGACCCAAATGTATTAAACAGTCATAGAAGCACATGTGCTGGTTGCAATAGGTGGGGAATTGGGGTCTGCACAGCTAAGTTTAGGAAACAGAGGCCCAGAGACTGGGGAGATGCATAGCACCAGCAAGCATGATGCTGTGCTGGGCTTGGAAGGCAGATTTCCTGGGAGTGAGGGGGCTTGGCAGAGGACCCAGAACATCATTTCTGAACTTGAGGCGATGCAGTTCTGTGACTCCCTGTCTCCTCTTCAGCTCACTTTCTGCTCCAACCTTCCCCAGCCAGCATTAGGGCATCACAGTCCCTTCCTGTTGGCTGGGAGCCTGCTGAATTGAAATTTCCACCACTGCCCTTGGCTCAGCCTCCCTGTTCCAGCGATTTCCCAGGGAAATGGAAGGGCCTCATTCTCCTTTACTAGTTTAAGACGCTTCTTCTAACTTCTCTGTCAATTTTGATTCTTCATAAAAGCTGGCTTTGGATGGGAATCAAATGCCCCCCTTGATGTTGCATCCCTGGGAGAGCCTTGTGTCTGCTGATAATTCACTGAGTAATAACTGCTCTTTGTGCAGGGATTGCCACGCCATAGGACCCCAGTCCTCCCTGAGCTTGAAAGTGCATCATTAACATCCTCGTGCAGATCTGCTATGCAGTGTTACAAATTGCCCCAAATTCTCGGGTTCAGAAGTTGTAAGAGGTGAAGCCAGGTTGAAAAGGCTAACTCGTAATGAAGTAGAAGCTACCTTTACCTGGTGGCTCCAGCAGTTGGTGCTAGGAGCCTGGGAAGTGGGCACAGCAGTGAGGAGGGGGATATGGGTGGAGGTGGGGCTGGGAGGATCTAGTCTGAGGACTGTGCAGTGTCTCTATTAAGCTGCTCCCATAGAGACTTCCAGCTGTGCACAGTGAGTCGCAGAAGAGAAATAAACTTGAGTCTCTTCATGGATTAACATTCTTCCAGTGTATTTTCAAAGTAAAATGTCAACCGTTCTGAACCCTTGTGCAGAACTATTTTTGACAGAGCCGAGAACTGAAACAAACACTGCTGCTTCATCCCAGTAAAGGAATAAGGAAAAGATGCAATCAAGTATTTCATTTTAGGTAGTGTTTTTATCAATACATACCCATTAAGGGTAGAATGTTCAGGAAACACAGATAAATGAAAAGAAGAACGTAAAAGTCAGCTACAATCTTTAAACCAAGAATTAAATACTGTTAATGTTTCTGTTGTATTTTCTTGTTGTTTCTTCTCCCTTCATACATAGAGATCATGATATGTATATTTATCAAATTGCTCTTTATTGTAATACATTTTATATCCTGACCTTCCTACTAAATGTTATATTGGGAATATCTCCTCATTTCTTTAACTATGCTTTACAACTATGATTTTTTCAGTGGAAATACATTACTCAACTTACAGGCAGCCATCATTTATTTCATCTTCCTATCTGATGAATATTTAGGTATTTTCACCACATTATTATAGAATAGTGCTGTCATAAACATCTAAAATACATACAATTTTAATTATATCTATATTTATTTCCATACTATATTTTTTAAGAAGTAGAATTACCAGAACAAGAATAATAATTCTTTTAGGCTCCTGATGTACATGATACATATTTTCAAATTGATTATAGAAAGGCCTAATAACTTTCACATCCATGAGTAGTATATAAAGTCTATGTTATATCACATGCTAAAAAATATGGTTGATATATATTAAACATTTTTGCTAGTTTGGCAGCAAGATGAAAAAGTGATATACTAAATTTGCATTTCTTGTGAGATTGTACATTTTAAAGTATAATTATTGGTCATTTGTATTTCACATTTTTGTAAATTATACCTCAGGTTCTTTGCACATTGTAAACTTATATAACCTCTCTTTCAGAAAGGAATTGATAGTTATTTGTGTTCAATATTTTGTTCCAATAAATAGTTTGCCTTTGAATTTAAAAATATTTTCACATACAGACATTAAAAAATATATGTGGTCAAATAATTAGATTATTCATTTGCATTTTCTTATATTTGTGTTTTTTAGGAACTTATACCCAATTCACAAAGTAGATACTGTTTACTCATACTTTCTTCCAGTTATTTTTGTGGCTTGATTTTTTTTTTTCAACAAAATCTACCATCTAACTGGGATGGATTTGGGATAAATTGTGACATGATGGCCTAGCTTTTACATTTTTCCACTAAATGCTTTCTACTACCATTTATACAGCAGACCTTCATTTCCCTATTGACTTGAATATCACATTTTATTATAAGCTATATAAATTTGCATATCTCCTCATTGATTTTTAGAAATTATTAATCATTTTTCTTTTTTCTCTGAGCTTTAATTTAATTCACATTTGTACATTTTCAGAATGTGGTGGCTTCAGATAACAGAATGTCCACCTTAAGTGGATTAAACAATAAGGAAGACTTACTATTTCACATTAAAGAGGACTGCAACTAGGAAGGCTTCAGGGTTGGCCAATTCAGACACTCCTGCTGAGCCCAAAGGCCCAGGTCTTTTTCATATCTCAACTTGGCTATTCTCAGGGCATAGTCTTAATTTTTCTCATAATTTCAGAATGACTATGGCAGTTCAAACTGTCATACCCAGAAAGATAGCAGTAAGTAGAAGAAGAGTATCTTTTCTGTGTGTCTCCATTCTGTAAGTGAAGAGCCCTTTCCTAGAAATTGGTCCTGGCTTACTGTGTTATTTTATATCATTTTGTTTTTTTGTTATAGCAGGTGAGGGTTTCCTGCTAGATGCGTAGGTAACATTGGCAGAATTTCTCTCTCAGATGCTTGTGTTCAGCTTGTGTTAGGCTTGTGCTCTTTTCATAACATGGGAAAGAAATTGCTCATTCTTTTGTACTTGCATAGGCAGAGCTCTTGAACGCTGGAAAGAATTTGACTGTACAATTTTCTGGGCTAGCTGCTGGTTTTGGAGATATTACTTTTGTATCTTGGAAACTTTATTTCCTGGTTTCTACATTTCATTTAATCATTTTTAGCAATCTGCTTCACTGAAAATCTTGCAGTTCACTGGAATTTTCAAATTCATTACTTACAGCTCTATATAGTACTTGTAAACAATTTAAAAAATACTGAGCTGTTGACATATCTCCCTCTTCATTCCTATTATTACATATTTGTGTTGTCTTGCTTTATTTTTTGATTAGACTTGACAGCAGTTTTTTCTATTGATTTTTTTTCAAAGAACTAGGTCTAATTTGTTTAATCATGTTTTGTATTTTTTTTCTGTCTGCCTGCTGCATAATAATTGTTTTATTCTTATTTATTTATTACTTTTCGAGACACAGTCTCACTCTGTTGCCCAGGCTGGAGTGCAGTGGCACAATCATGGCTCACTGCAACCTCTGCCTCCTGTGTTCAAGTGATTCTTGTGCCGCAGGCCCACGAGTAGCTGGGACTATAGGCACATGCCACTATGCCTGGCTGATTTTAGTAGAGATGGAGTTTCACCATCCTGGTGACGCTGATTTCAAACTCCTAGCCTCAAGTGATCTGCCCCCTCAGTCTCCCAAAGTACTGGGATTATAGGTGTGAGCTACTGCACCTGGCCAATTTTATTGCTATTTTAAAAAACTTTTTATATGAGGTGGTAGATTTTATTTTTATTCTTTCTTGTTTTGGAATGCCTTGTTTTATTCTGAATATAGTTGTGACTGAATTCTTAGTGGTTTTACTAATATAAACTGAAGTGTAACCCTTATACAGAAAAATTTCTAAATCTTACGTGAATCACAGTGAATTTTCAAAAGTGAACATGTACATACAGACAACACTCACATCAAAGAACATCACCAGCACCCTCAGAGCTCTCCCCTGTGCACCCCTTTCATCACCACACCCACCAAATGGAACCAGTTTTGATATCTAATGCCCTTAATTAGGTTTTTCCTGTTTTTAACTTGATATCAGTGATATCAAATGTTCCATACTCTTTTGTATCGTACTTCTTTTGCTCAACATTATGTTAGTAAGATTCATCATTATTGTTGTATGTAGTTTTAGATAATTCATTATTGGGTTTTACAAGGAAAGTTTTATTATCATACAGGTATAGAGAGGCCAACAAATCAGGGGACGACTGCCATTGAAAAGATAGGTTGTTACAGTTCCCCAGAGGGGCATGCGAAGCACACTAGACAGGGCCACAGGGTCAGTCAGGAGGTGGAGGAAAACCTGAGCAAGCTTCATACTTATTTTTCAAGACAGACTTGGTGATTCTTGACTCTTTGTATTTTCTTATACATTTTAAAATTAGATTTTTATTTTCCACAAAAAAATTTGGGATTTTGACTGAGATTGCCTTGACTCTTGATCAATTTGGGAAGTGTTAATGTCTTACCAATATTGAGTAACCTAATTCATGAATATAGTATACCCCTCAATTTATTTATGGCTTCTTCAATTTCTCTCAGTAAAGTTTTGTAGCTTTCACTGTAGAGATTTGAATAACTTTTGTTTGATTTATTCCTGGATATTGATTTATTATTATATGTAGTAAATTTCAAATTGATTTTTCTACTTGTTACTGTGTGTATATAGAAATAGAATTGGGTTTGCATATCAAACTTATTTCTAGTGAACTAACTGTATTTGCTAGTTTAGATTATTTTAGATTTTCTGTATACACAATCATGTCATCTATGACTAATAAAACTTCTATATTTGCATTTCTAATTGTTTTTTTTTTATTTCTTTCTCCTGTCTTGTTGCATTAGTTAGGGTCTTTAGTTCAAGTTAAATAGATGTAATAACAGTGGACATCTTTATTTTGTTCTTGATATCAGAAGATAATTTATAATAATTTATTCTTTAATATGTTTACTACATAATTTTGGTTGATGTTCTTTTTTCAGATTAAGACAATTCCCTTGAATTCCTAGTCTACTAATAGTGTTATCAAGAATGAGTGTTACATTTATTTAAAGGCTATTTTGCATCTATCAAGATAATTATATAATTTTTATTCTTGCTCTTTCCTGTTAATATGATAAATTATGTTGATGTATTCCTTTTTGTTGGTGCTCATTTCTCTTTATTGCACCAATACCATACCATGCTGTTATTATTATTTTATAGTATATTCCAATATTTGCTAAGTTTGATACCATCTAATTTCTCTTCCTTTTCAGAATATTTTATAATTAAATTTTTATTTTGAGTTGGTATAGATTTACATGCAGTTTTAATAAATAGTATAGAGAGATCCAGCATACCCTTTATTTAGTTTCCCCAATGATAACATCTTGCGATACTGTTATGCAATAACACAATAAGGATACTGACATTGATACAAGCTATGGATCTCATTCAGATCCACATTTTCCCAGTTTCATTTGTGTGTGTGTGTGTGTGTGTGTGTGTGTGTGTGTGTGTGTGTGTGTATTTAGTTGTATTCAGTATTTTCCTGTCTGAGCTGATATATCCCCTACCACATCCAACACACAGAATAGTTTTGTTACCAAGAAGATTCCTTCCCCATTTTCTCTTTTATGACCACATGGACCTAACTCATACCTCCCTGCCCTTCTTGTTCCTACCTCCTGATAACCATAATATTTTCTATTCTACATTTCTAAAATTTTGTCATTTAAAAAATATTATATATGTTGAATCACACAGTATTATAATTTTTATTGGCTTTTTCTAACTCTAGAAAAAAATGGCACAATTTTCTAGAGGTTCCATCCAAGTTGTTGCATGTGTCAAGAGTTTCTCTCTTTTATAGTTGAGTATTATTTCGAAGAATGGATGCCTCACTATTTGTTTAACCATTCACCCACTGAAGAACATCTGAATTATTTGCAGTTAGGGCAGTTATGAATAAAGCCACTATGAGCATTTGTGTACAGGTTTTCTGGGATAAATGCCCAAGAGTGCAATTGCTGTGTCATATGGTAATTACATGTGTAGTGTTAAAAAAAAATTACAGCCAAACTGTTTTCCAGAGTAGCTGTACCATTTTATACTTCAGCCATGAAATGCATAAGAAAATGCCTCTACATCCTCACCTGCATTTTGTGATATCACTATTTTTTATTTAATAATTGCATGGAGATATCTTATTGTGGCTTTAATTTGCACTTCACTGATGGTCAGTGGTGTTGAATGTTTTTTATGTGCATGTTTGCCTATTTGCCATCTGGATACCCTCTTCAGTGAAATGTCTGTCCAAGTCTTTTGCCTGTTTTTCTAAGACGATTGCTTATATTGTACTGTTGAGTTTTGAGAATTCTTTATATATTCTAGATACTAGTCTCTTATTGGATATATAGTTTGCAATCATTTTATTGCAATTTGTATTTGGCTTTTCCTTTTCTGTTGAGGATTTTTTGCAAAGCTAAAGTTTTACATTTTAATGAGGCTAAGTGTATCAATTTTTCCTTTTATATATCATGATTTTGGTGTCAAGTCTAAGAATTCTTTGCCTATCCCTATATTCCAAAGATTTTTTCCTATTTTTTTAAAGTTTGATATTTTCATATTTTATATTTAAGTCTATAATCCATTTTGAATTAATTATTTTAGACATTGTGAAGTTTAGGTTGAAGTTCATTTTTTTTTCCCTATAGGTATCCAATTGCCTCATCACCATTTGTTTAAAAGACAGTCCATCCTCCATTGAATTGCTTTTGGACCTTTGCCATAAATCATTTTGGCATATTTGTGTGGGTCTATTTCTGGGTTCTCTAGTCTATCCCATTGATCAATGTGCCTATCTTTATGACCCTGTCTTGATTACCAAAACGTTTTACACATTGTTGGATTGTATTTGCTAAGGCGTTATGGGGGATATTGCTATTCTGAGTTCATGAGAATATTGAGGTGTAGGGGTTTTTTTTGTTTTGTTTTTGTTTTTGTTTTTTCGCTGTTGTACTATCATATCTGCTTTAGGCATCAGGGTAGTATTAGCCTCATAAAATATGTAGGAACACACTTGTTTTTCATCTTTTGGAAGAGATTTGTAGAATTTGGTTTTAATTGTTTAAATGTTTGATATAATCCTCTAGTAAAATCATTATAGTCTGGGGATTTCTTTTACAGGAGCTCTTAAATTACAAATTAAATTTCTCTAACGGTTATTGGGATATTCAGATTATCTATTTCATCATGGTTGACTTCTGGTAGTTTGTAGGAAATAATTGGTCATTTCTTCTAACTTGTCAAATTTATGAGTGTAATGTTGTTTGTATTTTCTTTTATTGTTCAAATGGCTATAGCATCTGTAATAGTATCTCTTGTGTTATTCCTGACATTTGTGATTTGTCTTTTCTTTATTATTATTTTTGTTAGTCTTGTTAGAGGTTTATCACTTTTATTGATTTTTTAAATTTTTATTTTAAGTTCAGGAATACATGTTTAGGCTTGTTACATACGTAAATGTGTGTCATGGGGGTTTGTTGTACAGATTATCTCATCACCCAGGTATTAAGCCTAGTACCCATTAGATATTTTTCTGCTCTTCTCCCTCATCCCATCCTCTGCTCTCCAATAGGCCTCAGTGTGTGTTTCCATCTATGTGTCCATGTGTTCTCATCATTTGACTGCCACTTATAAGTGAGAACATGCAGTATTTGATTTTCTGTTTCTATTCTGCTAAGGATAATGGCCTCCAGCTCCAACCATGTCCTTGCAAGGGACATGATCTTGTTCTTTTTTGTGGCTGCATAGTATTCTAGGGTATATATGTACCACATTTTCTTTATCCAGTCTAGCATTGATGGGCATTTAGGTTAATTCCATGTCTTTGATATTGTGAATTGTGCTGTAGTGAACATACACATGCATGTGTTTTTACAATAGGACAATTTATACTCTTGGGGTATATACCCAGTAATGGGATTACTGGGTTGAATAGTATGTCTTTCTTTAAGTCTTTGAAGAATTGCTACACTGTCTTCCACAATGGTTGAACTAATTTACACCCCTACTAACAGTATATAAGTGTTCCCTTTTCTCCATAACCTTGCCATCATCTGTTATTTTTGACTTTTTCATAATAGCCATTTTGATTGGTGTGAGATGGTATCTCATTGTGCTTTTAATTTGCATTTCTTTAATGATCAGTGATGTTGAGCTTTTTTTCATATTATTTTTGGCTACCTGTATGTCTTCTTTTGAAAAGCATCTGTTCATGTTCTTTGCCCACTTTTTAATGTTTTCTTTTTGATAAATTTGTTTAAGTTCCTTATAGATACTAAATATTAGGCCTTTGTGAGATGCATAGTTTGCAAAAATTTTATCTCATTCTGTAGGTTGTCAGTTTACCCTATTGGTAGTTTCTTTTGCTTTGCAGGAGCTCTTTAGTTTAATTAGATCCCATTTGTCAATTTTTGCTTTTGTTGCAATTGCTTTTGGCCTCTTTGTCATGAAATCTTTGTTCATACCTATGTCCTGAATGATATTGCCTAGGTTGTCTTAGAGAGTTTTTGTAGTTTGGGGCTTTACATATAAATTTTTAATCCATATTGAGTTAATTTTTGTGTATGGTGAAAGGAAGGAGTCCAGTTTCAATCTGCATATGGCTAGCCAGTTATTCCAGCACCATTTATTGAAGAGGGAATTTTCCCTATTGCTTGTTTTTGTCAGGTTTGTTGAAGATCAGGTAGTTGTATGTGTGTGGACTTATTTGTGGGTTTTCTTTTCTGTTCTTTTGGTATAGATGTCTGTTTTTGTACCAGTACCATGCTGATTTGGTTACTGTAGCTGTATAGTATGGTTTGAAGTAGGGTACCCTGATACCTCCAGCTTTGTTCTTTTTGCTTAGGATTGCCTTGGCTATTCAGGCTATTTTTTGGTTCCATATGAATTTTAAAATGTTTTCTTCTAGTTCTGTGAAGAATCTCAATAGTAGGTTAATAGGAATAACATTGAATCTATAAATTGCTTTGGCCAGTATGGCCATTTTAACAATATTGATTCTTTCTATCCATGAGCATGAATGTTTTTTTCATTTGTTAATGTCATCTCTGATTTCTGTGAGAAGTGTTTTGTAGTTCTCTTTGTAGAGATCTTTCACTTCCTTGGTTAGCTGTATTCCTTGGTATTTTATTCTTTTTGTGGCAATTGTGAATGGGAGTATGTTCTTGATTGTGCTCTCTGCTTTACAGTGGTTGATGTATAAGAATGCTAGTGATTTTTGCACATTGATTTTTGTACCCTAAGACTTTGCTGAAGTTCTTTATCAGTTTAAGAAACTTTTGATCAGAGTCTATGTGGTTTTCTAAATATAGGATCATATCATCTGCAAACAGGGATAGTTTAACTTCTCCTCCTCCTATTTGGATGCACTTTATTTCTTTCTCTTGTCTGATTGCCCTGGCCAGGGATTCTAATACTATGTTGAATAGAAGTGGTGAGAGAGCGCATCCTTGTCTTGTGCCAGTTTTCAAGGGGAATGCTTCCAGCCTTTGCCTATTCAGTATGATGATGGCTGTGGGTTTTTTACATATGGCTCTTATTATTTTGAGGTTCAAGGATATTGGTCTCAACTTTTCTTATTTGGTTGTATCTCTGCCAGGTTTTGGTATCAAGATGATGCTGGCCTCATAGAATGAGATAGGGAGGAGTCCCTTCTCCTCCTCAATTTTTTAGAACAGTTTCAGTAGGAATAGTACCAGCTCTTCTTAGTACCTCAGGTAGAATTCAGCTGTGAATCTCTCTGGTCTTAGGCTTTTGGGGTCGGTAGGCTATTTATTATGGCCTCAATTTCAGAGCTCATTATTAGTCTGTTCAGGGTTTCAGTTTCTTCGTGGTGCAGTCTTGGGAGGGTGTATGTGACACGAATTTATCAATTTCTTCTAGATTTTCT
Source organism: Homo sapiens (assembly GCF_000001405.40). Taxonomy (NCBI): domain Eukaryota; kingdom Metazoa; phylum Chordata; class Mammalia; order Primates; family Hominidae; genus Homo; species Homo sapiens. The sequence goes on along the minus strand of NC_000010.11, from coordinate 85,839,993 downwards.
AGCTTATATGCCTAGAAATATTCATAATATTCTCTGATGGTTGTTTGTATTTCTGTGGAGTCAATGGTAATATGCTGCTTTTATTTCTGGTTGTGTTTATTTGAATTTTCTCTGTTTTCTTATTTGTCTAACTGGCAGTCTATCTATTTTATTTTATTTTTTTCACAAAACCAGCTCCTGGATTCATTGATCTTTTGAATGGTTTTCCTTCAGTTTAGCTTTGATTTTGGTTATTTCTTTCCTTCTGCTAGCTTTGAGATCTGTTTGCTTTTGGTTCTCTAGTTCTTTTAGTTGTGATGTTAGGTTGTTAACTTGAGATCTTTCTAACCTTTTCATGTGGGCATTTAGTGCTATAAATTTCACGTTAACACTGCCTTAGTTATGTCTGAGAGATTCTGGTACATTGTGTCTTTGTTTTATTAGCTTCAAATAACTTCTTGATTTCTGCTTTAATATTATTATTTACCAGAAAGTCATTCATATGATCCATGTAATTGGAGGCTTTGGAGTGAATTTCTTTGTCTTGATTTCTAATTTAATTACACTGTGGTATGAGAGACTGTTATAATTTTGGTTCTTTTGCATTGGCTGATGAGTGTTTTACTTTGGATTATGTGATCAATTGTAAAATATGTGCCATGTGGCAATGAGAAGATGTTTATTCTGTTGTTTTTGGGTAGAGAGGTCTGTAGATATCCATAAGTTCTATTTGATCCAGTGCTGAGTTCAGGTCTTGAATATCTTAATTTCCTCTCTCAGTGCTCTGTCTAATATTGTCAGTGGGGTGTTAAAGTCTCCCACTATTATTGTGTGGGAGTCTGAGTCTCTTTGAATGTCTCTAAGAACTTGCTTTATGAATCTTGGTGATCCTGTGTTGGATGGATATATATTTAGGATAGTTAGATCTTCTCACCGAATTGAACACTTTACCATTATGCAATGTACTTCTTTGTCTTTTTTTATCTTTATTGATTTAAAGTCTGTTTTGTCAGAGACAAGGATTACAACCTCTGCTTTTTTCTGTTTCCCATTTGCTTGGTAGATTTTTTTCCTTTCTTTATTTTGAGCCTATGTGTGTCACTGCATGTGAGATGGGTCTCTTGAAGACAGCATAACAATGGATCTTGGTTCTTTATCCAGCTTGCCACTTGTGCTTAATTGTGGGCATTTAGATCATTTATATTTAAGGTTATTATTGATATGTGTGGATTTGATCTTGTCATCATTATGTTAGCTGGTTATTATGCAGACTTGTTTGTGTGGTTGCTTTATAGTGTCACTGGTCTGTGTACTTCAGTGTATTTTTGTAGTAGCTGGTAAGTATTTTTTTCCATATTTAGTGCTTCCTTCAAGAGCTCTTGTAAGGAAGTTCTGGTGGTAACAAATTCCCTCAGCATTTTCTTATCTGAAAATGCTCCTTTGCTAATGAAGCTTAGTTTGGCTGGATATGAAATTCTGGGTTGGAATTTCTTTCTTTAAGAATGTTGAATATCAGTGCTCAATTTCTTCTGGCTTGTAGGATTTCAGCTGAGAGGTCTGTAGTTAGTTTGATGAGCTTCCCTTGTTGGTGACCTGGTCTGTTCCTCTAGCTACCTTTAACATTTTTTCTTTCATTTTAACCTTGGAGAATCTGATGATTATGTGTATTGGGGATGATCTTCTTGTGAACTATCTGACTGGGGTTCTCTACATTTCCTGAATTTGAATGTTAACCTCTCTAGCTAGGTTGGGGAAGTTCTCATGGATGATATCCTGGAATATATTTACCAAGTTGGTTCCATTCTCTGCATCTCTTTCAGGTACACAAGTCAGTCATAGGTTTGGTCTCTTTACATAATCCCATATTTCTTGATGGTTTTGTTCATTTCTTTTTATTCATTTTTCTCTGTTTTTGTCTGCCTGTCTTATTTCAGAAAGGCAGTCTTTAGACTTTGAGATTCTTTCCACCTTTTGTCTTCTGCTATTAATACTTGTGATTGCATTATGAAATTCTTGTAGTGTTTTTTCAGCTCTATAAGGTCAGTTATGTTCTTCTGTAAACTGGTTATTTTGTCTGTCAGTTCCTGCAATATATTATCATGATTTTTACCTTCCTTACGTTGGGTTTCAACCTACTCCTGTAGCTTCGTGAGCTTTGTTCTTATCCATATTCTGAATTCTATTTCTGTCATTTCAGTCACCTTAGCCTCAGTCTGGTTCTGAACCCTTGCTGGAGAGATGATGCGGTCATTTGGAGGAAAGAAGACACTCTGGCTTTGAGTTTTCAGCATTCTTGTGCTGATTCTTTCTCATCTTTGTGGGCTTATCTAACTTCAATCTTTGAGGTTGCTGACCTCTGGATGGTTTTTTTTTTTTCTCCTTTTGTCCTATTCGATGACTCTGAGGACTTGATTGTAGTATAAGGTGGATTCACTAACTTGCTTTATTTCTGGGAGATTTTCAGGGGCCAGTGCTCAGCTCCCAACTCCTGGACTGCATGCTCTAACTCTGGAGAACTTGTATTGGGCCCCAACTTTGTTCTCTGACTCCTAGAGGTTTGGAGTCCACTGTGCTGGGGATGCCAAGGTGCGACAGCTGCAACAGAGTGTTAGCATGGGCAGGGGTGCCAGCCTCACTGTGGGCATTCACCATAGTGGCAGAGGCAAGGCAGCTGGTAGTAGGAGGAACCCTGATGGAGACTATGTGCACTGTTGTGCTGGAGGTGGAGTTGGTTTGGGACAAGGTGCTGGCTGGCATAGGTCTGGGTGCTTTCTCTGTGCCCCCATAAGCTAGTGATTGCTCAGGTTGTGGGAGGATCCTTTGTTCTCTGTGCAGCATTAGCACAAGTATGGGACACTAGTGGAGGCAGGGCTTCCTGGCTGTGTGCCACGAAGGCTCTGTCTGCAGTGACAGTCGGTGGTGGGGGTGGGGAGACAAACTGCACTCCCACATGCTGGCAGGGCAAGTAAAGCAAAACCCACCTGTGCAGACACATGCTAACAATGTGATGTGTGGAGTTGCTGTGGGCTCAGGGGAAGCTGCAATATGGGGAGGTGGCATGTGGGCTGGTGTGCAGCCACAGGAGCCACTTCATTGGAGCTCTCCACCTGTCGGGCTTGGTCCTCTGGTGCAGAAGCTATGGTGTGTGCCACCAGGGCACCTGACGCTGCCTTATAAGCAGGCATGGTGATGCTGGGGCCCCAGGAGAGGTAAGCAGGCCAAGGAGTGCTCAGGTTGGACCAGTCCTGTTTGATGTGCAAGACCACCCTACAGAGATCAAGTCTGACAGTTCCCCTAAAGCTAAAGTCTCTTATTTAGGAGGAAGTTGAGCCTAGGGAGATAGCTGTACCTGGCCATGCTCCACTACAGCTGCACCTATACCAAAGCCTCTATACTCTACATCAGCTGGCTGCTGCCCCACCACTTCTCTAATCAGCTATCCCTGCTATCTCAAGTGTCCGTGATGGTCAAGGGGTCCTCTCCTGCCTGGAATCCAGAGGCCTGTGGTGAGAGTGGGTTGCTTCTTGCCAGTTCAATTCATCCATTCCCCTAGAGCTGTTGTAGGTCAAAAATGAATCCCAGGGCTCAGTAGCCCTTGTGGGGTTAACAGTTTTCTCCCTCTTCAATCTAGCTTGTGTGTCTTTCCTCCATCCACTCTCGGTGCCTTCCCTCTGAAGATCTGTTAAAAGCATACCAGTCATTTCCATCCCTCCATGGGAGCTATTCCACTTGTCTACATCTAGTTGGTCATCTTGTCCTCCCCTCCTTTATTGATTTTTTGAAGAACAATATTTTGTTTCATTTTAAAAATTATATTTCTATTTTCAATTTTATTAATTTCTGCTCTCATCTTTTATTTCTGCTTGCTTTGAATTTATTTTGCTTTTTTTTACTCCTTGAAGTAGAACCTTAGATTATTTGAGACATTTATGTTTTTCTAATATAAGCTTTTAGTGCTATAAATTTTCCTATTAGAACTATTTTGGCTGCATTTTACATAATTTAATATGTTGCATTTCATTTATATTCAGTTCTATATATTTTCTAAGAATTTCCTTTGAAATTTACTATTTGATTTATGGCTTAGGTTAAAACTTTATTGTTACTTTCCACATGTTTAAGGATCATCCTTTTGTTTTTCTCTTATTGAATTCTAGTCTGATTCCATTATAATCAGATAACATACTCTGTATGATATCAGTTCTTTAAAATTCATTGAAGTCTCTTTATTGTTTAGGATATGATCTATCTTTGTGAATAATCAGTGGAACTTGAAAAGATGTATATTCTGCTGATATTGGGATAAATGTTCTATATGTGTCAATTAGATATTATTGGTTGATTGTTGTATTAGTCTGTTCTCACACTGCTAATAAAGACATACCCAAGACTGAGTAATTTTTAAAGGAAAGAGGTTTAATTGATTGACTCACAGTTCCACATGACTGGGTAGGCCTCACAATCATGATGGAAGGCAAAGGAGGAGCAATATCACGTCTTACCTGGCGGTCAGCAAGGGAGATTGTGCAGGGGAAGTCCCATTTATAAAATCATCAGATCTCATGAGACTTACTCACTACCATGAGAACAGTATGGGGAAATTGCCCCCATCGTTCAATTATCTTCACCTGGCCCCACCCTTGGCATGTGGGGATTATTACAATTCAAGGTGAGATTTGGGTGGGGACACAGCCAAACCATATCAATTGTGTTGTTCAGAGTTTCAATATCCTTGTTAATCTATTGGTTCTATCAGATGCCGAGATGGGGTTGTTGATGTCCCCAACTATAATTATGGACTTGTCTATTTTTCTTCTCAGCTTTATCAGTTTTTTCTTCATGCATTTTGAAGATCTGTTGTTTGGAGCATACACATTTAGGATCATTATGTCTTCCTGATGGATTTTTCCTTTTAAAATTTTGTAATGTCCCTCTTTATCTCTGTTGATTTTATTTACCTGATATTAATATAGTCACTCCTACTTTTTAAAAATTAATGTCTGCATGGTATATTTTTGAATTTTTTGACATTAACCCACCATGTTATTGCCTTTGAAGTAACTTTTTTTTTGCAAACAGCATTTAGTTGGATTTTTAAAAAATCTATTCTTCCCATTTTTGCCTTTTAATTGGCATATTTACATCCTTAAGATAAGTATTGTTGTTTTAGCATTTAAGTAAGTGCTAAATCATAATTGTTTATTTCCTCTGTTTTTAATTTTTCTGTTTCTCTTAGTGTATATCTCTGTGTAGTTTTCTTAGTGGTTGCTCTGACTATTACAATACACATATGTGACTTATCAGTTTATTGGTGTTAACATTTTGCCACTTTGAGTGAAGTGTAGAAATCTTACTTCCATTTAGGTACCTTTACCTTTCATACTTTTAAATGTCATTGTCCTGAGTATCAAATGGTGTTATAGTTTCTGTTTCAATTATCAAATAAATTTATAAAACTCAGAAGAAGAAGGATAGTATATACTCATATTTCTGTTGTTTTTACTTCCTAAAGCTCCAATAATGCTTTTATTTTCTTTTTGCTTAGTAAATGTTATTTATCCAGTCTCGAAGGATTGGTCTTCTAGGCACATATTCTTTTGGTCTTCCTTCATCTGAGAATGTCTTTATTTCCTCTTTATGTCAGAAAGACAGACAGAATTTATGGTTGAGAGTTCTTTTCTTTCAGGAATTTAAATGTGTTATGCCATTTTCTACTGATTACCATAGTTTCATATTCTCAATTCACTGTAGTTTTGTATTCTTCTGGGTAGTTTCTTTCTAGGTGCTTTCAAGATTTCTTTTAAAAAATTTAGTTTTCAGAAGTTTTATTATGATATGTCTTGACATGGATTTATTTGGGCTTATCTTGTTTGAATTCTTCTTGAATTTCCAGGTTTACATCTTCCACGAAATTTGTCAAACTGCTAATCATTATTTATTTGAATAGTCTTTCAGCCTCAGTCTCTTTCTCTTCGCTTTCTGGAATTTCAGTGGAATTAATGTTGGCGTTGGATCTCTTGTTATTGTCCCATACACCCTTGAGGCTCTGTTCATTTCTTTATCAATCTGTTTTCTCTCTGTTTGTCACATTGGGTACATTTTATTCATCTGTTCTCCAGTTTGCTGACTGTATCCTCTATTATCTAAACACTATGATTGATTTCATCCAGTGAGTGTTTCGTTTTAGTTATTCTATATTTCAATTCCATAATTTCCATTTAGTTCTATTCTATATCTTCTTGTCCTTTGATGAGATTTTCTACCTTTTGTTTCAAGAGAATTTGTAATTGCTTGTTGAAGCATTTTTATGATTATTTATTTAAAATTATAGTCAGATAATTAAAACATCTGATCCATCCTGGTCTTAGCATCAGTTGATCATTTTTTCTTATTCAAGTTGTGGTTTTCCTAGTTCTTGATTATATCTTGAACATTGTGATATTGTCTTAGGAAGCTGTGTGTTCTGCTTAAATCTTTTTTTTTTTTTTTTGTTGGGAGTTATATCCTGGTTAGTTTTAGCACACATGTCTGGCCTACTTTTATCTGCTGTGCTTTCAGTGACTACTTAATTTTAGGAGCTGGTGTTATTTTGTGGTACTATTTTGGTCTACTTAGTTTATCTGGTGCTGTTGGGGCTTCCTCTGATCTTTCTTTGTGATTCCCAAGAAGTATGACAGGGATTTTCCAGGCTGGGCCGCCTGGTTTCTGTAGTTGAAGAATGGCCTGTGAGAATGAGGAACACTTCCCAGGCAGGGCACTTGTGACAAGACTATCCTGCCTCTAGGGAAAGGAGGGCACTTCCCTGGCTGGGGACTGCTTGTGGCAGGATCCCCCTTGCCAATGCCACCTGCTGACACTGGGTGGAGGAGAAAAGATTCCAGCCTATAGGGATGAAGAGTTTTTATGGGCTAGGTGGAATCACCCTTGCTGGTCCTGCCCAGCTGCCTGAGTATCTCTCAGTGGGGGTGTGGAGTCTTGGACCCTCAATGACAGAGAGGATTCCTGGGCTGTGTCCAATAATGATGAGATCTCCTTGCCAGTGCTGCTCTTGGTGCCTGGTTTCTCATGGTGGTTCAGGGGAGTCCCAGGTTGGTGTGGAGGGTAGTTAGTGTGGAAGGGTAGTGCTTCTAGGGCTGGGCCATTTCTTTTCAGCAGGACTTCTGATTGATTGTCCTTTTGGTATTGCTTGTCTGGTCTGGCTGGGAGAAGAATGAGCCTACCCGGACCATCTTCTGTTGCTTGGTTGGAATTTAGAAAATTCTAGGTCTGTGTTTGTTGCATTTTTTATGTTGTTGGGGGCCGTAAGACACCCTGTCACTATGTTTTTCCTCTAGCGCTGAGTTCCATTACTATTTTGTCTTCCTCTTCCCATCTTTCAGAATTCTCCTTTCATTGCCTTTTGCATTATTTCCAGTGTTTGTAGTTGTACATAGCAGAGAAGAGCAGGGAGAAATGAGTCTACATCATCTTCTTCAGAAACTCTCACACTGATGGGTTTTTGGAAGTTGAGCCATTTTTCATTGCTCAAATTATGCTTAGTAATAATTTATTATCCTTGTTGTGTATCACATTTGATTTTCTAACATTTTGTTAATAATTTCTTTATGTTCATGGAGAATTTGTCTGAAATTTTCTTATGTGGCAATGTCCTTTTCAGTTTTAGTATTCAATAGTCTTATTATTAAGACTATTGAATGCTGGGGCTCTTATAATGAGATAAAAAGTGTGTATTTTTCTCTATTTCTGAACGAGTTTGTATGAAGTTGCTGCAACTTCTTTCTTAAATGTTCAGAATAATTCACTAGTGAAGCAAACTGTCATTGAATATGTATATTTACACACACATGCTAGTATATACATTTAGATTTTATATTATTTCTTGAGTCAGTTTGTTAAGATGTGATTTTCAATAAGTATTTCCACTTCATCTAAATTGTCAAATATCATGGCACAAAAAAAATTGTTTTCTTACCCTGATTTTTGTTGTTTTCATCCCTTTATTCTTTTCAAAAAACAAATTTTGGCCTTATTACTTTGTTTTGTTTAAAATTTTTATTAATCTTTGTTCTTATTTATTTTATTTTCCAATATATTTTATTATGATTTGTTCTTTTTTCTGGCTTCTTGCTATGTGTGGTTAGATAATTTATTTTTGTGTTTATTTTTCTTTCATTTAAAGCTATGAATTTACTTTACAGTACTGTTTTAGCTGAATTCCGTATATTTTGACATATTTTACTTTCAATGTTATCCAGCTCAAACATTATTTCATTTACTAAACAAAATTGTTTTTGACCCAGGGTTTATTAGAGGCATATTGCTTATTTTCCAAGCATAGAAGTTTTTCTAGTCGTTTTTTTGGTTAGTCATTTAATAGTTTCTAACTTATTTTCACTGTGATCAGCAAATTTGTAAATGATTTTGGCTCTTTAAATATTATCTTGGCTTACTATATGACCACCATAGAGGTAAATATTTCATGTGCCCTTGAAAAGACGGTATCTCATTTTATTGTTTCATATTGTGGTTGTGGATTTACCTATTTTTTTCTTATTTTTATTTTATATCTTATAAAACTTATTTTAGCTTCAGGGGTATATATGCAGGTTTGTTATATAGGTAAGTTGCATGTCATGGGGGTTTGGTGTACAGATTATTTCATCACCCAGGTAATTAGCATAGTACCTGATAGGTAGCTTTTCAATCCTCTCCCTCCCACCCTCCACCCTCATGTACTCAAGTGTCCATTTGTACTCAATGTTTAGCTTCCACTTATAAGTGAGAACACATAGTATTTTGTTTTCTGTTCTTGTGTTAGTTTGCTTAGGAAAATGGCCTCCATCTCCATCTAATTTTCTGCAAAGGACATGATCTCATTTTTTTTTTATAGCTACATAGTATTCCATGGTGTATATGTACCACATTTACTTTATCCAGTTTACCATTGATGGGCATTAATGTTGACTTCATGTCTGCCATTGTAAATAGTTCAGCAGTGAACCTACATGTGTATGTGTCTTTATAATAGAATGATTTATATTCCTTTGGATATATACCCAATAACGAAATTGCTGGGTGAAATAGTAATTTTGTTTTAATTTTTGAGAAGTCGCCACACTACTTTCCGCAATGGCTGAGCTAATTTACATTACACCAGCAGTGTAGAAGCATTTGTTTTTCTCCACAACCTCACGAACATCTGTTATTATTTTATTTTTTAATAATAGCTATTCTGACTGGTGTGAGGTGGTACATCATTATAGTTTTGATTTGCATTTTTTAAATGATTAGTGATATGTAACACTTTTTCATATGCTTGTTAGCTATGTGCATATCATCTTTTGAAGTGTCTGTTCATGTCCTTTTCCCACTTTTTAATGGGGTTGTCTTTTGCTTGTAAATTCATTTAAGTTCCTTACAGATTCTGGATATTAGACCTTTATTGGATGCATAGTTTGCATAGTTTGCAAAATTTTTCTCCCACTCTGTAAGTTGTCTGTTTACTCTGTTGATAGTTTCTTTTGCTGTGCAGAAGCTCCTTAGTTTACTGAGGTCTCCTTTGTCAATTTTTGTTTATGTTGCAATTGCTTTTGGTGTCTTTTTTGTGAAATCTTTGCCAGGGTCTATGTCCAGAATTGTATTTCCTAGGTTGTTTTCCAGTGATTTTAGTTTTTGGTTTTACATTTAAGTCTTTAATTCATCTTGAGTTAATTTTTTAAATATGATGTAAGGAAGGGGTCCAGTTTCAGTCTTCTGCCTATGACTAGCCAGTTATCCCAGCACCATTTATTGAATAGGAAGGCCCTCCCCCATTGCTTGTTTCTGTTTACTTTGTCAAAGATCAGATAGTTGCAGGTGTATGGCTTTCTTTCTGGGCTCTTTATTCTGTTCCATTGGTCTATGTGTCTCTTTTTGTTTGAGTACCATGCTGTTCTGGCTACTGTAGCCTTGTAGTATAGTTTGAAGTCAGGTAATGTGATGCCTCCAGCTTTGTTCTTTTTGCTTAGGATTGCTTTGGTTATTTGGGCTCTTTTTGGTTCCATATGAATTGTAAAATAGTTTTTTCCAATTCTGTGAAGAATGCCATTGGTAGTTCAATAGGGATAGCATTGCATCTGTAAATTGCACAGTAGCATGGCATCAGTATGGCCATTTTAACAATATTGATTCTTCCTATCTATGAGCATAGGATATTTTTCTGTTTGTTTGTGTCATCTTGGATTTCTTTGGGTTGTGTTTTATAATTCTCATTGTAGAAATCTTTCACCTCTTTAGTTAGCTTTATTTCTAGGTATTTTATTCTTTTGGGGGATATTTTGAATGGAATTGTGTTCTTAATTTGGCTCTCCACTTGGACATTGTTGTTGTATAGAAATGCTACGGATTTTTGTGTATTGATTTTGTATCCTAAAACTTTGCAGAAATTGACTATCAGATCAAGGAACATTTGGGAGAGACTATGGGGTTTTCTAGGTATAGAATTAATCATCCACAAACAGAGATAGTTTGACTTCCAATCTCTTGCTATTGGGATGCCCTTTATTTCTTTCTCTTGCTGATTGCTCTGGCTAGGATTTCCAATACTGTGTTGAATAGGAGTCATGATAATGGGCATCCTTGTCTTGTTTTGGTTCTCAGCGGAATGCTTCCAGCTTTTGCCTGTTCAGTATGATGTTGGCCCTGGGTTTGTTATATATGACTTTTTTTTTTGAGGTATGTTATTTTAATGCCTAGTTTGTTGAGGGTTTTTAACATTAAGGAATGTTCCATTTTATCAAAACCTTTTCTACATTTATTGAGATAATCATGTGGCTTTTGTTTTTAGTTCTGTTTATGTGACGAATCACATTAATTTGTATATGCTGAACTAACCTGGCATCCCAGAGATAAAGCCTACCCATTTGTGGTGGATTCGCTTTTTGATATGTTGCTGGATTCAGTTTGCTAGTATTTTGCTGAGGATTTTTGCATCTATGTTCATCAATGATATTGGCCTGATGTTTTCTGTTTTTGTTGTGTCTCTGCTAGGTTTTGGTATTAGAATGATGCCAGCCTCATAGAATAAGTTAGGAAAGAGTCCCTCCTCCTCAATTTTTTGGAATAGTTTCAGTAGCAATATTACCAGCTCTTCTTTATACACCTGGTGGAATTCAGCTGTTAATCCATCTAGTCCTGGGCTTTTTCTGGTTGGTAGGCTTTTTATTACTGATTCAATTTTGTAACTAATTTTTAGTCTGTTCAAGGATTCCATTACTTCCTGGTTCAATTTTGGGAGGTTGTATGTTTCCAGGAATTTATTCATTTTTTTCTAGGTTTTCTAGTTTGTGTGCACAGAGGTGTTCAGAGTAGTCTCTAAGGGTTGTTGTCACTGGGTTTTTTTTTGCATTTCAGTTCAGTAGTAATGTTCTCTTTGTCATTTCTGACTGTGTTTATTTGGCTCTTCTCTCTTTTTTCCTTTATTAGACTAGATAGTGATCTATCAATCTTATTTATTCTTTGAAATAATGAACTCCTGGATTTGTTGATCTTCTGTATGGTTTTTCACATCTCGGTTTCATTCAGTGCAGCTCTGATTTTGGTTATTTCTTGTTTACTACTCCCTTTGGAGTTGTTTTGATCTCTTTTCTTTTCTCATTTCTCTAGGTATGATGTTAGGTTGTTCATTCGAGATCTTTCTAACTTTTTGATGTGGGATTCAGCACTATAAATTTTCCTCTTACCACTGCTTTAGCTGTGTCCCAGAGATTCTGTCTGCTATGTTATATATTTATTTTCATTAGTTTCAAATCATTTCTTGATTTGTTGCTTAATTTCATTGTTTGCCCAAATGGCATTCGGGAGCAGGTTGTTTAAATTCCATGTAATTGTATGGTTTTTGAATGATTTTCTTAGTATTGATTTCTATTTTTATTGCACTGTGGTTGAATGTTGTGTTTGGTATGATTTCATTTTTTTTTAATTTGCTGAGAATTGTTTTATAGCTGATTGTGTAGTCAATTTCAGAGTATGTGCCATGTGCAAATGAGAAGTATGTATATTCTTTTGTTTTTGAATGGAGATTTCTGTAGATATCTGTTAGGTCCATTTTGTTGAGTGCCAAGTTCAAGTCCTGAATGTCTTCATTAGTTTTCTGCCTTGACGATCTGTCGAATACTATAAGTGGGCTGTTGATCTATCCCATTATTATTATGTGATTATCTCAGTCTCTTTTCAAGGTCTTAGAAGACCTTGGTGCTTCTGGGTTTGATGCATATATATTTAGAATAGTTAGGTCTTCTTGTTGAATCGAACCCCTTACCATTTATGTAATGCCGTTCTTCATCTTTTTTTTTTTTTTAACCATTGTTGGCTTAGTCTGTTTGGTCTGAAGTTAAAATCGCAGTCCCTGCATTTTTCTAGCAAGGTTAGATACCTTCATGGACAGTATCCTCAAATTCGCTTTCCAAGTTGCTTGCTTTCTCTTCCTCTCTTTCAGTGACTCCAAGTCATAGATTTGGCCTATGAGTCATAGATTTGGTCTCTTCACATTTTCTCATATTTATCAGAGGTTTTGTTCATTCTTTTTAATTCTCTCTCTGTCTGTCTGTCTTTGTCTGACTGATTTAATTAAGAGAATTGTTTTTTTTTCGAGCTCTGAGATTCTTTCCTCAGCTTGGTCAATTCTGCTGTTGATACTTGTGATGGTATTATGAAATTCTCAAAGTGAGTTTTTTAGCTCTATCTGATGAATTTGGTTCTTCTTCAAATGGCCACTTCATTTTTCAGCTCCCATATCATTCTATTGTATTCCTTAGACTCCTTGAATTGGGTTTCAGCTTTCTCCTGAATCTCAATAATCTTCATTCCTATCCATATTCTGAATTCTATGTCTGTCATTTCAGCCATTACAGCCTCATTAAGAACCATTGCTGGCGAACCAGTGCAGTCATTAAGAGGTAAGAGGATACTCTGGCTTTTTGAGTTGCTAGAGTTCTTGCACTGGTTCTTTCTCAACTGTGTGGACTCATATTCCTTCAATCTTTGAAGTTGTCCTTTGAATGAGATTTTTTGCTTTCATTTTCTTTGATGCCCTTGGGGGTTTGATTGTGGCATAATGTGGGTTCAGTCAACTAGCTTTATTTCGGGAAGATTTTAGGGGATCAAGCCCCAGCTCAGCACTCCTGGGCTGCCTGCTCTAACTCTTGAGGCTTGGTGCCAGGCCCCCAGCTTTGTTCTCTGGCCCCTTGAAGTTAGGAACCTGCTGTGCTGGAGGAACTGAGGTGTTCCCATTCTGTTGGCCCAATGATCTGATGGGAGATGCTGGCCAGAGTGCTTCATTTAAATGGTGGCAGCAGGATCCTTGCTCACTTGTGCCTGCCAGTAGCCACAGCAGTGTGGCAGGGTGTAGGGTGCAGTGTGGCAGGGTGAATGTGGCAGGGTGCATGTGTTGGCAAGTGTGGGGCACTGGCACAAATGGAGTAACAGCATTCCGGCACATGCTTACGCCCGCAACAACAGGGTGGGGGACGGGGGAGGGTCACAGTTGCTGGCATCTGTGAACATGTTCACAGGGATTTTCCCTTCTTTTTAGTCTGAAGTTATGTCATTGGGGATGCTAGTCATTTTATTGGTTTTTAAAAATCAAATCTAATCTGACAATTCTAGACTTTTGCTTGGGTTTTGTTTTGTTTTGTTTTGTTTTTGACGGAGTCTCGCTCTGTCGCCCAGGCTGGAGTGCAGTGGCGCGATCTCGGCTCACCGCAACCTTCGCCTCCAGGGTTCAAGCGATTCTCCTGCCTTAGCCTCCCGAGTAGCTGGGATTGCAGGCATGTGCCACCATGCCCAGCTAATTTTGTATTTTTTTTTTAGTAGAGATGAGGGTGGTTTCTCCATGTTGGTCAGGCTGGTCTGGAACACCCGACCTCAGGTGATCCACCCGCCTCAGCCTCCTAAATTGTTGGGATTACAGGCGTGAGCCAACGCGCCTAGCCTGATTGCGGGTATTTATCTACTTACAGTCAATATAGTGACTGATTTATTTGGGTTTATGGTTATCACTTTTCTCTTTTTTATTTGTTATTTTATCTTTTTTTCCTCTTCTTTTTTACCTTAATTTATTGAAGAATATTATTCTGTTTTCTCTTTCATAACTTAAATTTATATATATTTGAAAATATAAGTTATTGATAATCAGTTTGTGAATCAATATTCTGTGCATTACACACATATTTTTTGTCCAGTTGTTTTTTACTATTTTTTCCATTCTCTTTTTGTGATTATGTTTTCTATTGCATTTCTCTCTTACCATATTTTTGATTGACCATTTAAAAAATTAGTTCTTTTGCCCCCTGTATTAACTTGTTACCTTTTGCTATTCCTTTAGTGAATTCCCTAGAGATTAACTAATACATTTGACTCATTACAATCTAGCATAAATTATTCTTTTACCTTTTCCACACTAACACTGAAAAGTTTCAGTATTAGCCTATTTTAACATAATTAAATTCAAATGCTTCTGCACAGCAAAAGAATAATCAGAGTAAACACACAAACCACAGAATGGGAGAAAATATTTGCAAATGATGCATCTGACAAATGACTAATATCCAGAATCTACAAGAAGCTCAAATAAATCAGCAAGAAAAAAAAAAACAATCCCATCAGAAAATGGACAAATGACATGAATAGACACTTTTCAAAAGAAGATACACAAATGGCCAACAAACATGAAAAAATGCTCAACATCACTAATCATCAGAGAAATGCAAATTAAAACCACAGCGAAATATCACCTTACCCCAGCCAGAATGGCTGTTATTAAAAAGTCAAAAGCAACAGATGTTGGCATGGATGTGGTGAAAAGGAAACACACACTGCTGGTGGGAATGTAAATTAGTACAACCTATATGGAAAACAATATGGGCATTTCTCAAAAAACTAAAAGTAGACCTATCATTCAATCTAGCAATCCCATGTCTGGATTTTTTTTCCAAAGGGAAAGAAGTCATCACATCAAAAAGACACCTTCACACATGTTTATTGCAACACAATTTGCAAAGATATGGAACCAACCTAAGTATCCATCAACTGATGAGTGGGTAAAGAAAATGTGGTATATATATAGTGTGGCATACTACTGAGCCATAAAAGAGAATAAAATAATGTCTTTTGCAGCAACTTCAATGGATCTGGATGACATTATTCTAAGTGAAGTTAACTCAGAAATGGAAAACCAAATATACATTCTCAATTATAAGTGGGAGCTAAACTATGTGTATGCAAAGGCATACAGAGAGGTATAATAGATATTGGAGACTCAGAAGACTGGAAGGTTGGTGGTGGGGGGGTGGTGAGGGATAAAAAACTATATATTGGGTACAATGTACACTACTTGGGTAACAGATGCACTAAAATCTGAGATTCACAGCTATACAATTCTCCATGTAACCAGAAACCACTTGTACCTGAAAAGCTATTGCAATTTTCAAAAATGTGAAAAAATGAATTAAAAAACAACCAAAAAGGGCTGGGCATGGTGGCACATGCCTGTAATGCCAGCACCTTGGGAGGCCAAGGCGGGCAGATCACTTAAGGCCAGGAATTCGAGACTAGCCTGGCCAACATGGTGAAGCACCATCTCTACTAGAAATACAAAAATTAACTAGGTGTGGTGGTGTGAGTCTGTAATCCCAGCTACATGGGAAGCTGAGGCAAGAGAATCACTTGAACCCGGGAGGTGGAGGTTGCAGTGAGCCAAGATCGCACCACTGCACTCCAGTCTCTCGCCGGATCGTACTCTTGCGACAAGGCAAGACTCCATCTCAAAAAACAAACAAACAAACAAACAAACAAACAAAATCAACTCTTTTTAAGTCTTTTCCTCTTTTGCTTTATTGTTGTAATATACTTTCATTGTGCATATTTTAAAACCCTTAATACATTGCTATTTTTTGAATAATGATCATTTAATCACTATTTAGTTATACTTATTCACACACTTAATTTTTCAATTGTTCTTAGTCCTTTCTACTTTTCTCTGGGATCCTTTCCTACCCAAGGAACTTTCTTTAGTGTTTCTTTCAATGCAGGTTTATTGGTGCCCAGTGGATTCTCTCAGTATTCTTTTGAAAATATATTTTTTCCAGCACTCATTGATGATGGTTATTTTTACTGGGTGTGGAATTTTAAGCTAGTAGTTATTTTTCTTTTATAACTTTAAAAGGTATTATTCTACTTTCTTCTTGATTCCATCATTCCTGGGACTGTCAGTCTTATCATTTCTCATTTGAAAGTAAAATGGTAACATTTTTTCCCCTGACTGTTTTAAAGTTTTCAGTAGTCTTACTGTATTTAGATATAGTTTTTTTTCATTTCTCAAGCTTGATATTCACAGAATTATTTAATTATTTGCATTTAAATATATTATCAGTATTGGACAATTCTCAGTTTGTATTTAATCTTATATTGCTTTTGGTGAATTCCCTCTCTTCTCTCTGAAATGCTAATTATACACATTGGAGCTTTTAAGCATGACCCACATGTTACTGTTTTACCCCCTCTTTGGTTTTAGTCATTATGCATTTTTAATTTTCTGTTTATTTTTGTTTATATATATTTTAATTAGATTCTAATTATTTCTCAAATTATCTTTATTTTTCTCTTTTTTGTAATTTAAAAAAGTTTCTTGAACATATCATGGATTTTTCAATAACTTGATTGAGTCATATTTTACAAATCACAATGCACCCATTTCAAGTGTATATTTCAGTGACTTTTAGCAACTTTACTGAGAGATGATTGAAGTAAAATAATTGAGATTTTGACAATGTACTTTTTTTTTCTTTTTTTATTATACTTTAAGTTCTAGGGTACATTTGCACAACGTGCAGATTTGTTACATATGTATACATGTGCCATGTTGGTGTGCTGCACCCATTAACTTGTCATTTACATTAGGTATATCTCCTAATGCTATCCCTACCCCCTCCCCGCAACTCATGACAGGCCCTGGTGTGTGATGTTCCCCTTCCTGTGTCCAGGTGTTCTCATTATTCAGTTCCCACCTATGAGTGAGAACATATGGTGTTTGGTTTTTTGTCCTTGCAATAGTTTGCTGAGAATGATGGTTTCTAGCTTCATCCATGTCCCTACAAAGGATGTGAACACAACATTTTTTATGGCTGCATGGTATTCCATGGTGTATATGTGCCACATTTTCTTAATCCAATCTATCATTGTTGGACATTTGGGTTGTTTCCAAGTCTTTGCTATTGTGAATAGTGCCGCAATAAACATACGTGTGCATGTGTCTTTATAGCAGCATGATTTATAATCTTTTGGGTATATACCCAGTAATGGGATGGCTGGGTCAAATGGTATTTCTAGTTCCAGATCCCTGAGGAATCGCCACACCGACTTCCACAATGGTTGAACTAGTTTACAGTCCCACCAATGGTGTAAAAGTGTTCCTATTTCTCCACATCCTCTCCAGCACTTGTTGTTTCCTGACTTTTTAATGATTGCCATTCTAACTGGTGTGAGATGGTATCTCATTGTGGTTTTGATTTGCATTTCTCTGATGGCCAGTGATGATGAGCATTTTTTCATGTGTCTGTTGGCTGCATAAATGTCTTCTTTTGAGAAGTGTCTGTTCATATCCTTAGCCCACTTTTTGATGGGGTTGTTTGTTTTTTTCTTGTAAATTTGTTTGAGTTCTTTGTAGATTCTGGATAGTAGCCCTTTGTCAGATGAGTAGATTGCAAAAATTTTCTCCCATTCTGTAGGTTGCCTGTTCACTCTGATGGTAGTTTGTTTTGCTGTGCAGAAGCTCTTTAGTTTAATTAGATCCCATTTGTCAATTTTGGCTTTTGTTGCCATTGCTTTTGGTGTTTTAGACATGAAGTCCTTGCCCATGCCTATGTCCTGAATGGTAATGCCTAGGTTTTCTTCTAGGGTTTTTATGGTTTTAGGTCTAACGTTTAAGTCTTTGATCCATCTTGAATTAATTTTTGTATAAGGTGTAAGGAAGGGATCCAGTTTCAGCTTTCTACTTATGGCTAGCCAGTGTTCCCAGCACCATTTATTAAATAGGGAATCCTTTCCCCATTTCTTGTTTTTGTCAGGTTTGTCAAAGATCAGATGGTTGTAGATGTGTGGTATTATTTCTGAGGGCTCTGTTCTGTTCCATTGGTCTACATGTCTGTTTTGGTACCAGTACCATGCTGTTTTGGTTACTGTAGCCTTGTAGTAAAGTTTGAAGTCAGGTAGCGTGATGCCTCCAGCTTTGTTCTTTTGGCTTAGGATTGACTTGGCACATTTTAATAATTTTCAGGATATATACACATATACATATATATATGCATACAGACACCCAAATTTTTGTTACGATCAAGATAAACAATTATTTGGATCACCCTCAAATTTGCCTGTACTTCTTTGCAATCCATGTCTCCCTCTAACACCACCCACAGTCAACTATTGATCTGTTTTCTTTTTTTTTTTTTTTTTTTTTTTTTTTTTGAGATGAAGTCTTGCTCTGTCACCCAGGCTGGAGTGCAGTGGCACAATCTCAGCTCACTGCAACCTCTGCCTCCCGGGTTCAAGTGATTCTTCTGCCTCAGCCTCCTGAGTAGCTGGGATTACACGCACCTGCCACCATGCCCAGCTAATTTTTGTATTTTTAGTAGAGATGGGGTTTCACCATGTTGGTCTGCTGGGCTCCAACTCCTGACCTCAAATGATCTGCCCATTTCGGCCTCCCAAAGTGCTGGGATTACAGGCATGAGCCACCGTGCCCAGCCTGATCTGTTTTCTGTTACAATGGTTTATTTGGTGTTTCCTATAATTTTATGTAAATATAATATATAATTTGCTTTTTTTTTACTCTTTCTTCTAGAATGTGATTTTGAGACTAATCTACACTGTTAATGTTTGTTAAGAGGTCTTTTCTTTTTATTGTTGAGTAATTTCATTATATGGGAAAACCATATTTCTTTATCTGCTTATCCGTTGATGAGCATTTGCATTGTTTCTAGATTTTGGCTATTTTTAATAAAGCTGATACAAGCATTTGTGTAAAAAATGTCTTCATGTGGATATATATTTATATTTCCCTTGAATGAATATCAAAAAGGCAGAATGGTTGGGTCATATTGTTGATGCTTAATTTTTAAAGAAACGTCCATGCTGTTTTCCACACTGCATATTTGATTTTTAATTTCCTTCAGCAATGTATTAACATTTCAATTCTTCTACAGCCTTGCCTCCGTGTAGTATAGATAAGTTTAAAAATTTTTAGCCATTATAAATGGTATAATGGTATAATAGTGGTATCTTGTTGTGGCTTTTATAATTAAAAAAATAATTTTAGAATTTGAAAAGACAGCACAAATAATTATTTGATGTACTTCCCTCAAATTCCTTTATTTTTAACATCTCACACAATAATTATAAATATATCGAATCTGGGAAATTAACCTTGGAATAATATATTAACCCATTTATTCCTGAGGTTGCAGTTTTTTGAATTTGAAAAATCAGACCTTGGCGATGACCTTGAGCAGTAGGATATGAAGAACTCCCACATCCTTAGCGTCCCAATAGTGGAACACTAGACATATGAAGTAAACTATGGACTTTATTATGATTTTGCCTGTTTTCCTACTAATGTTCTTTTCCTTTTTCAGGATCTTTTCCAGGAATCCACATAGCAGTTAGTCATCGTGGCTCTTTCCTCCTCCAATCTATAACAAATTGTTAGTTTCTTTCTTTTTTTAAAGACCTTGTCAATTTTGAAGAGTATTTATCAGGTATTTTGTAGAAAGCTCCTCATTTTGAGTGTATCAGAAGTTTTCTTTTCTTTTCTCTTTCTTTCTTTCTTTCTTTCTTTCTTTCTGTTTCTTTCTTTCTCCCTTCTTTCTTTCCTTCCTCCCTTCCTTCCTGCCTGCCTGCCTGCCTACCTGCCTTCCTGCCTGCCTGCCTGCCTGCCTGCCTGCCTGCCTGCCTGCCTTCCTTCCTTCCTTCCTTCCTTCCTTCCTTCCTTCCTTCCTTCCTTCCTTCCTTCCTTCCTCTCTCTTTCTCTCCCTTCCTCCCTCCCTCTCTCTCTCTCATTCTCTCTTTCTTTCTTGACAGTTTTGCTCTTTTCGCCCAGGCTAGAGTGCAATGGTGTGATCTTGGCTCACTGCAACCTTCACCTCCTGGGTTCAAGTGATTCTCCTGCCTCAGCCTCTCGAGTAGCTGGGATTACAGGTGCCCACCACCATGGCTGGCTAATTTTTGTATTTTTAGTAGAGACAGGGTTTCACCGTGTTGGCCAGGCTGGTCTCGAACTCTTGACCTCAAGTGATCCGCCTGCCTCTGCCTCCCAAAGTGCTAGGATTAGATTACATGCATGAACCACCATGTCTGGCCAGAAGTTTTCTTATGATTAGACGGAGGTTATGAATTTTGGGGAAGAACACCACCTGGTACCCTTCTCATTGTATCATATCAGGGGATACATGATATCCATATGATGTTAACCTTGATTGCCTGTTTAAGGTGGTGTCTGTGAGGTTTCCCCAATGTAAAGTTACTAGTTTTTGTCATATGATATTTATTAGAAGCAAGTTACTAAGTCCAGATCATGTTGAGATGTTGAGGAAAGGGGAGTTAACATTCATCACTTGGTGTGGGGAGTAACAAAAAGTTGTGGGTACTTGTCAAAATCACAATAATTAATAAACTTCTGGGGGAATATGCTTTGAAACGGTGCAAATATCTTATTTCTCCTTTAATTTTTTCCCACTAATTTTAGCGTTTATCAGCGAATCCTGCATGCAGCAATTGTTGCTGTTGTGCTTTTTGTGGTGATTTGATGTTTCCCTTGTTCCTCTTACTTTACTTGGAATTCTTACGTAATGAGGATTTGACTCTTCCCCTCCCTCCCATTTATTTATTTGTTCAAACATGCATTATATCAGTATGAACTCATGGATTTTTTTATGCCAATCTTTGAGTTATAATCAAATACTATTGTGCAGGACATGGTGGCTCACTCCTGTAATCCCAGCACTTTGGGAGGCTGAGGCGGGCGGATCACTCAAGCTCAGGAGTTTGAGACCAGCCTGGTCAACATGGCGAACCCCTGTCTTTGCTAAAAAATACAAAAAAATTATCCAGGTGTGGTGGCATGTGCCTATAGTCCCAGCTACTCAGGAGGCTGAGGCACGAGACTCGCTTGAACAGGGGAGGCAGAGGTTGCAGTGAGCCAAGATTGTGCCACTGCACTCCAGCCTGGGCGACAAAATGAGACTCTGTCAAAAAAAAAAAATTACTATTGCTACATTTTTCTGGCTTTGGTTACTGGGAACTGTGTCAAGTAGCCTCCTATCTCCTTTGGACATGCCTCCCTCATCCTTTTTGAGGACTTCTTTATTTTCTCATGCTATAAGATGCTCTGTTCCCATCTTGTATTTTCCTTGCCTCTGACCTAGAATTAGCCATGTCTCCAAGGAGCTCTGGCTTATTTTATTGGTATCTGGCTTATTTCAGTGGTATTTAGAAACTAAAATATGGGTGATTAATGTATCTGCTTTTACTGAGCTATCACTGCTTCTTGGACCTTTTAATGGACAAAGTGAGGAAGTATATGCATGTGTATTAACTCATGTATGCACACACATCTCTATTTCTGTCTGTCTGTCTATCTATCCATTCATCCATCCATGTGTGTGTGTAGATGTATATTTGTAGATACAAATAGATGGAAACATAGGTAGATATAAACACACATACATGTATGTATAAATAATCATGATTTCTAACTCATCCATCAGGAAGGATTCATTCTAGTCTTCTCTTTTTACTTATTTGTTACTTCACTCTTTGACAGTGAGAAAGTTGGCTTCCATTATCTACAAATTATTTACTTATTTGTCCAACCTTTGGATACATGGAGTATCAGAACTGCTAATCAGCATGCATGTGAGAACCAAATTTACCAACTAAAGAACAGCATTTAAATACAATTCTTTTGGTATTTAGGTTCAGAGTATCCAAGCAAATCACTGTTTCCAAAAGCTACTTAGGTCAACTCCCTTTCCCCCACTGCCTTCAGTGAGGTTATGCCTTTCATTTGTGCTACAATGAAATTCTTTTTTTTTTCTGAGACGGAGTCTTGTTTTGTCACTCAGGCTGGAGGGCAGTGGCAAGATCTCGGCTCACTGCAACCTCTGCCTCCTGGGTTCAAGCGATTCTCCTGCCTCAGCCTCCTAAGTAGCTGGGATTACAGGCACATGCCACACTCCTGGCTAATTTTTGTATTTTTAGTAGAGATGGGGTTTCACCATGTTGGCCAGGCTGGTCTTGATCTCTTGACCTCGTGATCCATCTGCCTCGGCCTCCCAAAGTGCTGGGATTACAGGCGTGAGCCACTGCACCTGGCCTTCTGAAATTTATTTTTTATAGCCAACTTTCCATCCTGGAATCTTTTGACATTCTGGCTATAATTTTTTTTAATGTTGTTATTATTGAGATAGAGTCTTGCTCTGTCATCCAGGCTGGAGTGCAGTGGCACAAATATGGCCCACTGCAGCCTTGACCTCTTGGGCTCAGGCTCTCCTCCTACCTCAGCCTCTTGAGTAGCTGGGACCATAGGGACATGCCACCATGCTGGGCTAATTTTGTATTTTTTGTAGAGATGGGTCTCACTGTGTTTCCCAGGCTGGTCTGGAACTCCTGGACCCAAGCAGTTCTCTCACTTTGGCCTCCCAAAGTGCTGGGATTACAGGCATAGAACTTAAAACAGAATTACCATTCGACCCGGCAATCCCATTACTGGATATATACCCAGAGGAATATAAATCATTCTACCATAAAGATGCATGCATGTGTGTGTTTGTTGCAGCACCATTCAAAATAGCAAAGACATGGAATCAACCTAAATGCCCATCAATGGCAGACTGGATAAAGTAAATGTGGTACATATATACCATGAAATACTATCCAGCCATAAAAAATAATGAGATCAGGTCCTTTGCAGCAACATAGAGCTGGAAGCCATTGTCCTAAGGAAACTAACACAGAAATAGAATATCAAATGCTGCATGTTCTCAGTTATAAGTGGGAGCTAAACAATGAGAACACATGGCTGCTAGGAGGGGAACAACAGATTCTGGGGTCTACTTGAGGGTGAAGAGTGGAAGGAGGGAGAGGATCAGAGAAAAATACCTATCAGGTACTATACTTATTACCTGGATGATGAAATTATTTGAACACCAAATCCCTTTGACACACAGTTTACCTATATAACAAACCTGCACATGTACACCCGAACCTCAAATAAACGTTAAAATAATAATGATAACAAAAAGCATGAAAAAATTATACAATAAAGTTTACTTTTGTGGTGTGCGGTTTTATAGATTTTGACAAATGCACAGTGTCATGTATCCACCAACATGGTAACATGTGGAATAGTTCCATCACCCTAAAAATTGTCTTGTGTGGCTTCTTTCTATTCAACCCCACATCCTTAAAAACCAGCCAGGCAACCAACCACTAGTCAAATTTTTGTCTCTATAGGTTGACTTTACAAGAATTTTATAAGTGAGTTACATGATATGTATGTAGCCTTTGGGGTCTGTCTTCTTTCACTTAGCAAAATCTATTTAAGATTCATTTATGCTGTTCTGTAATTTGTTTCTTCATTTTCTTGCTAAATAGTATTCCATCATTGGATGTACCAGGGTTTGTTTATCCATTCAACTCTTGAAGGACATCTTGATTATTTTCACTTTTTGGCAATTCTGAATAAGGGCATTATCAAAATTTTTGTAAAGATATTTATGTAAAAGTAAGTTTTAATTCATTTGGATGTATACCTTGAAGTAGAATTGATGGGTCATGTCATAAGTAGATAATTTATTTTCATAAGAAACTGCCAAACTTTTTATCAAAGTGGCTGTATAATTTTGCATTTCCACCAACAATGAATTCATGTTCTTTTTGCTCCACATTTTTGCCAGCATTTGGTGCTGCCAATTTATTATCATAATATATATTTTTTTAAATTTAGCCATTCTAATAAATATATAGTAGTACCTAATTGAGGTGTTAATTTGCATTTAACTAATGACTAATGATGTAAGCTTTTTTTTACAAAAAAGGAGTTGTTTTGCTTTATTGTTGAAGTATTAATTTTCTATAGATGTATTCTTAATAGAAGGTGTTCATTAGATAAGAGTTTTAAAATATCTTTCCCCATCTCTGACTTGCCTTTTCATTACTTAATAGTGTATTTTTGCAGAAGAATCAGTACTTAAATTTTGATAAATTTCAAATTACATTTTTTTGGTGTATTGTGATTTTGGTGTCATATGTAAACCTTCTAGAAACCTAAGTTCAAGAAGATTTTTCTCTTTATGTTTTATTCTAGAAGTTTTAAAGTTTTACATTTAAGTCTGTGGTCCAATTTGAGTTTGTATCTGGTGACCTTGTTAAACTTACTTATTAGTTTACTAACTTACTACTTACTAGTAGATTTTAATATAATTGTTTAGTTTTTTCTACATAGAGAATCATTTTATCTGTGAATAAAGACAGTTCTATTTATTTCTTTCCAATCTATATTTCTTGTATTTCTTTTGTTTATTTTTATTGTCTTATTACATGCCTTCCAATATGATGGTGATTAGGAATTGTGAAATAAGGCATTCCTTCCTCGTTCCCACTCTTAGGGAGAAAGCATTCAGTGTCTTTCATTAAATGAGATATTATTGCAGATTTTTAAAAAGATGTCTTTTATTAAGTCGTGGAAGTTTCCTTCTGTTCTTAGTTCCTTGAGAGTTTTTATCATGAATAGATGTTGAATTTTGTTGAATGGTTCATGGAGATGATTATGATTTTTTTCTCTCAGGTTTTCAGTGTGATCATATGGCGAATTCCAGCAATTGATTTTTGTATGTGAAAGCAGTTTTGCATTTTGGGCATGAACATCACTTGGTCATGATGTATTATCTTTTTTATATGTGGCTCCTTTCAGTTTGCTGGTATTTTGCTGACAATTTTGCATCTATGTTCACATGAACTGTTGGTCTCCAGTTTTTCTGTAATGACCATTTGGTTTTGGTATGAGCATAATGCTGACCTCATAAAAAGAGTTGGTAAATATTCTCTCCTCTTCTGTTTTCTAGAAGAAATTGTGCAGAATTGGTATTATTTCTTCCTGATCCATCAGTGAAACTATAAGGGCCTTTTGAAAGGTTTTTAACTACAAATTTAATAACTTTAATAGATATGAGGGTTATCTCATTATCTATTTCTTCTTAAGTAGTTTATAGTAGTTTGTATGTTTCAAGGTATTGATTATTTTCATCAAAGTTGTTTAATTTATAGACATAGAATTATTAATGGTATTCCGTTAATATCATTTAAAAGTATGTAGTAATGTCCTATTTTAATTCCAGATGTTAGTAGTTTGTGTTATTTCTATTCATTACTTGGACAGACTGACTAGAGGTTTATCAATCTTACTCATCTTTTCAAAGACACTATCTTTTAGTTTCATTGATTTTTCTCTGTTGTTTTTCTGTTTTTAACTTCAATCATTTCTGCTTTTACCTTTATTATTTTCCTTCTATTGCTTGTTTTAGCTTTAATTTATTCTTTCTCTAATTACTTAAGTTAGAAACTTAGGTTATTTATTTTATATCTTTATTCTTTCTTTAACATAGCATTTAATTCTACACATTTCCCTCTAAGTCCTGCTTTGGCTACATTTCACAACATTACATAAGTTGCATAATTATCCATCCATTTATTTTCAATCTGCCTGGCATTTATATTTAAATTGTTGCTTGTATATGCAGCCCATGGCAGGGTATTGCTTTTTGTCCACTCTATCAATATCTGCCTTTAAATTGGAGTGTTTGGCACATTGTATAATTTTGTGTAATTATTGATAGAGTTGGGTTTATGTCTACAATTTTCTTATTAATTTTTTGGTTGTTCAGTCTCCATATCCTTTTTCTTGCCTTTTTTGAATTATTTAAATTTTTAAAAATATTTCATTTTATTTATTTACATTTTGGGTATGTATTTTCTGTCAATATTTAAGGGATTTACGTAGCATTAATATTGTATCACTTTATGTAAACTTTAGAAAATTTCTAGCATGGAGGTCCCTATAACTCTCCTCCCTTACCCCTATGCTATTTTGCATTATAGATGTCATATATATCTGCATACACTGAAAGATCTAACAGATGATATAATTTTTTATTTCAACATTCAGTTGCACACATTTAAAAGTACTTAAGATATAAGAAAATAGCCTAGATATTTACTATTTATTTTATTCTTTAATTTCTGAAGATGCAAGTTTCCCTCTGGTATTGTTTACCTTGAATTTTTTTAAACATAAGTTTTTAAAAAATGTTTTAAAGCAAATTTTAAAAAACATTTTTAATATTGTAGGCCTGCTGTAAAACTTCTATTTGTTTTTCTTCTTGTGAGAAGATTGTAAGTTTCATTTGTTCTTGAAGGATATTTTTATAGGATATAAAATTCTGGTTTGACAGTTCTTTTTTTTTTTTCAGCGTTTCACATTTTAAAGATGTTGTTCCACTTTATTCTGACTTCCATATCCTCTGATGAGAAATCAATGGTGATTCCAATCCTGCTTCCCCTGTGTATAATGTGTTGTTTTCTTCTGGCTGCTTTCAGGATTTTTCCTTTTATTTTGTTTTCAGCAATTTGATTAAGATGTATGTAGACATGGTTTTCTTTGTGCTTATACTTTTTGGAGTTCACTGACTGTCTTGAATCCGTAATTTATATATATATATATTTTATCAAATTTGGAATGTTTTCTATAATTACTGCTTTAAATATTTTTGCATGAAAATGTTTTTCTCTTCTTCTGGGGCTCCAATGGCACATCAATTAAACCATTTAATGTAGAGTCCTAGAGGCTCTGATCTTTCTTTTTCAATCTTTTCCCCCTTCTTTTCTCTTCAGATTGAATTGTTTCTATTGTTCTATTCAAGTTCACCAAATATAAAGCAATACATGAGTTTCCATGCTAACTTTAGGTACCAATGCTGCCATTACCACCATGCTGATACACAGCAAGAGCCCTCTTAAGTTGAAAGAGAGCAGGGGAATATATATATACACACATATGTGTGTGTATATATATATAATATACACACAGATATACACATATTAATACACATACATACACATATATATGTATATATAGACACACACAAATATGTAGTGAAAGAGAGAGATTGGGGGGAGGGAGAGAGAGAGAGAGAGAGAGAACTTCTGTTTGCTTGTTTAGTTTTGACTTTCATTCACAATCTGCCTGCATTACCTCACACTTTAGAGTCCTCAGGTAATTATTTTCTGCATTTTTTTCCAGAAATTATAGCTCCAACTAGCAGAAGGGCTGGGCTGTAATGGATTCCTACCAGCCTAGCGGAATTGGAATTCCAGTTATGTCTTTTAAGTAAATTAAGAGGTTTAAAAAATAATAAAATGCTAATCATTGCTATCTCCAAGAGGGCTTTTACAGCCACTATACATCACTGCCATTATCACAACATATATGTCACCTTTGTACATACACCCTGATCATCATTTTTTGAAGCACATTTCCACAGGTTATCAAGTTCCAGGTTTGTAATTTTCTTTATTTTAATACTTTATGTATGTAATCTTATTCTCATGTCATAGTAAGGTTTGATTTTTTTTCTCTTTCTCCTTTGTGTATCTGTTCTAACTATGATTTTTGTAATTTTGTGTGTTTTCATGATGGTAGTTATCATCTTTTCACTTCCAGATGTAGGACTCCCTTAATCATTTCTTTTAACACCAGTAAAGTTGTGAATCATTCCTGTAGTTTTTGCTTATCTGGGAAAGACTTTATTTCTCCCTCCTTTCTAAATAACAGTTTTGCCTAGTTCTTGACTGGCAGTATGTTTTTCTTTCAGCACTTTCTATAAATTATTCCATTCTTTTCTGGCCTGTAAGATTTCTTCTGAGAAACCTACTGTTGGTCTAATTGGAATTCTCTTATACCTGACTTGCTGTTTTTCTCTTGCTGCTTTTAGAATGCTCTCTTTGTCTTTGATTGATGATTAGCTCTAATGTACGTGGGAGAGGATGTGTTTGTGTTTAATCTATTTGGGGTCCTTTGAGCTTTCTGGACCTGGATGTCCATCTCTCTCTTTCTAGACTTGGGAAGTTTTCTGCTATTATTTTATCAAAAATGTTTTCCTCACCTCTTCCCTTCTCTTCACCTTCTGATTGCTCATAATGCAAATAGTTATTCACTTAATGGTTTTCCATAAATTCTGTAGGCTTTCTTTATTTGTTCTTTCTCTTTTTTTGTCTGCTTTTGTTATTTCAAAAGATCTGTCTTGAAGTTTAGAAATTCTTTCTTTTGCTTGGTCTCGTCTGTTGTTGAAGCTCTTGATTGTATTTTTTATTCCATTCATTAAGTTTTTCAGGTCTAGAATTTTTGTTTGGTTCTTTTTAAAAATAATATCTATCTCTTGTTTAATTTTTAATGCAGATACTAAGTTGGCTTCCTAATTTAATTGAATCGTTTATTTATATTATCTTGTATCTCACTGGCATTTTGTATATTTCCTTTGATTTGGGGTCTATTACTGCAAAATTATTGTGTTACTTTGGAGGTGTCATGTTTCCTTGCTTTCTCAAGTTTGCTGTGTCCTTACATTGATATTTATGCACCTGAGGGAATAGTAGCCTCTTCCAATTTTATAGAATAGGTTTCATAGGAAAAGCCTTATTCCTATAGATGGGTTTTTATATGTCGATTGGCTGGGATGTACTGACTTTGGTTCTTGGTACATAAAGTAGTGCAGTTTCTTCAGATGTAATCCATGTTAGTGATGTTTGATAGTGCCTCAGTGGCCTAGGTTGTGAGGATTTGTGGTGGTGATGACACAGCTTCTTCAGGGGTGGGCTTGCTGAAGTGTTTCTCAGGCTAGGGTGTATGCATGAACACAGTGGATCAGCCAACTTGAGGGCTGGTTCACTAAGGTTTGTGCCACCAGGATGTTTTTTGGACTTTGGGTGCAGGTGCTCAGGATGAGTCAGCTGGCTTGGGGACTGGCTCACCGGGGTCAGGGTCTCTGGGTTATTACTCCAACTGGAGACATGAGTCATGCCTGTTTGGCTGGCTTGGAGTGGGTCTGCCAGGGTTGGGTCTACTCAGCTATTTCTGTGGTCAGGGTAATGGGTGCATAGCCACTAAGCCAGTTCAGGCATATGTCTGCCTGGGGCAGGTCCACCAGGCTGTTTTTCTGATGGGGAATATGATGATGCAGATGCTTGGGAGCTTAGGGGCATGTCGGCCGGGGCAGGTTTGCCTGGCTTCATCTCCAGTTGGGAGTGAGGGTGCATGGTAGTTAGGTCAGCTTAAGGCCAGGTCTGCCTGGAATGGGTCTGCTGGAGTGTTTCTCTTACCATGACTCAGGCACACAGCTGCTCATCTGCTTTGGGGCCTTCTCTGCTAGAGTCAGGTCTGCTAGACTGTTTCTCCAACTCTGGCCACAGCTGCTTAGCAGCTCAAGGGTGTGTCTAGCCAGGGTCAGGTCTGCTGGACTGTTTATCTGGCCAGGGACATGGGTGCACAGCAGTTCAGCTGACCCAGGATGGCTTACCTGCAGTGTGGTAAGGGAGCAAGGGCCATTCCTGGGCCCAGGCTCTGAGCAGCTGGGGTCATGGTGTTACAGCCACCCATGTGGGTGGAGAGATGGTGGAATCCCATGGTTGGAGGCCCAAAGTTGCTACTGGCCCCCAGGGCAGAGCACACTCCAGTAGTGGCTCTGGTTTTAAGATGGCACCACACCCCAGCAGCTGGGGTCATGGTGTTACAGCCACCCATGTGGGTGGAAAGATGGTGGAATCCCATGGTTGGAGGCCCAAAGTTGCTACTGGCCCCCAGGGCAGAGCACACTCCAGTAGTGGCTCTGGTTTTAAGATGGCACCACACCCCAGCAGCTTGGGTAATTGGATAATGGAAGTACAAAACTTGTGCTCCTAATCCAGTGAAAAGCAGCCATGTGAATTCCAGACAGCTCCCAGACTGAGCTGAGGGATTGTGAAGACTGTGGGATTCTTCTGTAGTAAAGACTACAGGGGGGCTATAGTGGCAGTGAGGGCTGCTGCAGGTCCTCTGCTTTCCCTTTCCCACAGGAAGAAGTCCCTCCACTCTGAGCTGATCTCAATAAGAGAGATGGTTCAGCAGAGGGAGGGTGCCTTGCTCCCCTCTCTGCTACCCTCTTGAGTCTCTGAACACTGAAATGACTTCACTACTCCTTTGTTACACTTCAGCACTTTCCCTCTGAAGTTTCAGTAAAAGTTTTAGTTGTTAATTTACTTACTTGGTCCTTTTTTATAAGGAGAAATGTGTGGCAGGTCTTTCTAATTACCCATCTTGCTGATAGCACTCCTTTTGTCTAGGCAGATTTTTGTTCTGAAAGTCATCCATCCTATTGCTGCTCCTTTTAAAGGAACATACTTTTTTGTCTAGCTGCTTTTAAAATTTTCTCTGTGTTTGAGTTTTGGGAGTATGTTTATAATGTGTTTAGGTAGGTGTGGTTTTGGGAGTATGACTATAATGTGTTTAAGTAGGTGTGGCTTTTATTACTTTTATCCTACTGAAGTTATTGAGGGATTGGTTTGATGTGTTTTATTAAATTTAATAATTTAAGTTGTGATACTTTCTCTTCTTTTGAGACAACAATTAAACATTTATTAGACATTTTTAACAGGAACTTGTATCTTTTATGCTCTGTTTTTTTCCTCATTTTATTTTTTTCTCTGTGAATCAGTTGAATATTGGGTATAAACATATTTATAGGTTAACGAGTCACGTCTTCTGCTGTGTCCGGTCCATTTTATTCTGATTTAGTGAATATTCGATTTTATATTTTATTTTACAATTCTCGACTGTATTTATAATTTTTTGTGGATTTAAATTATTTGTTCAAATTTTTTAACTTTTCATTCAGGTTGTCTCTCATTTCCTCTGTTTTCTTTGACATACAAGCATAATATAGACATAATATTTATTTTTAAATGCTGGTCTGTTCACTCAATATCTTTACCTTTTAAGGTCTTAATTCTATTGACTATTTTATCTCTTGATTATCAGTCATTTTCTGTTTTTTAATATGTGTAATAGTACATTTTTACGTTTCCTGGACATTGTGGGAGATACGTTGTACCATCTTTGGTTTATGTTAGTTTTGTCTGATTATTGTAAAATGCTATACTAAAAGTCATTTTTGTTGCTAACAAATCATCTTGGTCCTATTGAGGTATGATTTTCAATTTGTTGTGGGATTCTATTTTAGCCTTTTCCTCACTCTTACTTAGATCATGCTTGCACTGAAGGCATAACCTCCCTTATGTGTCACTTAAAAGTCATTGACATTTATTCATCGAGATGTTTATACTTTGCCTGGGCCTAAAGTTTAACGTATTTCCAGAACTTTGTGACCTCTGAAATATGTGCTAATTTCTCCATTTTCCTAGTTGGTCAGTGACATCATCTTAGACTTTTTGCAAGCTAGTTACGTGTCATAGGAGTCATCCAAGAGTTTGCAATTTTTACAGAGATATTTTGGACTTCTTTTTAATTTCAAATTGTTCCTTTCTCTTAACATACTTCACAAATTTTTCTCACCTTGGTACCACAAACTCTTATTTCTATTCCCTTCACCTAGTGAGACTCTCATTCCGTGCTTGTGTTTGATTTCCATGCAAAACTGATTTAAAAATATCTGCAGGTAATAATGTCTGGTGTGAATATGGGCCTCCTGCCATGTTTTTCTTGTTATTGCAGGAGTAACCTTGTAATTGTTTATATCTAAGGCCTGAAATCAGTTATTTTCTACATTTTGATAGATTTTATAATTATTTACTATGGGAACTTCCCTTATTTTTATGATTCTATTATATATTTATTCATGCCATTTCCCTGAAGTGTTGTTCAGTTTAAATAGATTTGAACTTTCAAATAAAGGTATCTCCTGGGCTTTACTTTTAAACTCAACACTGTTATGTTAATAAAGTTTATTATATGTGCAACTATGTTGTTTAATTTATATTACTGATGTACAAGAGTTTCTCTTGACTATGTACAGAAATGGAATTCCTGAGTCTTGTGAATAATAAACTTAAAAAATCAACTTATAATATCTATTTGTTTTCCAATGTGGTTATATTAATTATACTTCCAGCAGTGAATACAATATTCCACTGATCCTCATCTTCTTCACCCCTTACTATTTTTTAGGCTTCTTATTTATGCCACTCGAGAGAATGTAAAATAGTATCACATTTTGATCATGTTTTGCATATCCCTGATCACTATGAAAACTGAGCAGCTCTTCATATGTTAATTTAACATATGTTTTTTTCCAGTTAATATTCATTTCCATTTCTCATTTTTTCTACGGGAATATTTATCTCTTTCTAACTGATTAATGAGAGTTCTTCATGTAGTTTCTGAAACTTCTAACTTTTTGATTTTAAGTCACATGATTATCTTTCATATATTCGTATCATTCTTCCCTCCATATTTTTAAGGTGTCTAAAATTACTAATTCTTAATCTTAATAAATCAAGATTCTTTTTCTTTCCTTTTTTTTTTTTATTTGAGGAGATGGAATCTTGCCCTGCCATCCAGACCAGAGTGCAGTGGCGTGATCTCAGCTCACTGCAACCTCTGCCTCCTGGGTTCAAGTGATTCTCCTGCTTCTGCCTCCCGAGTAGCTGAGACTACAGGTGCGCGCCACCACACCTGGCTAATTTTTGTATTTTTAGTAGAGATGGTGTTTTGCCATGTTGGCCAGGCTGGTCTCAAACTCCTGACCTCAGATGATCCACCCACCTCAGCCTCCCAAAGTGCTGAGATTACAAACATAAGCCACTATGCCCAGCCCAAGATTATTTTTCTTTACAGTTAATAAACCAAGATTTTTTTTTTACTTTTAAAAGCAGTACTATTTGTCTGAATCCAAGGTAAAATATATATTCTTACATTTTGTAAAGTTTAAAAAAATCTGTTGAGATGTAATTTACAAATATTAAAGTGCACCCATTTTGATTGCATGATTAGATTAGTAATGATAAATATGTTCATACAGGTAACCACCACCCTATTTAAGCACTAGAACCTTTCCATGACACTAAAAAGTTCTCCCATTCCCCTTTTGAATTGAATGCCCCCTTCATTGTAGGCAAGTTTTTGATTTCTGTCACTATAAATATTATCTATTCTAGAACATACAAATAAAGTACACAGTCATCTTTTATATCAATTTTCTTTTAATTAGCCTAATGTTTTTGAGTTTTCCACGTTGTTTTGTTTATTCCTTTTTATTGAATTGTTCCTTTTTATTTGAGTGGCATTTCATTATATGAATATTATCACAATTTTATGAAAATTTGTTTTTTTTTCCAAACTTGGGTTATCATAAATCCAGCTTCTGAGAACATTCACATGCAATTATTTGTGTGGATGGGGACGTATGCTTTAATTTGTCTTAATTAAATATCTAGGGTTATGATAAATGTCTAGCCATAGTCTAAGAACACAGTCTAAGAAATTGCTGAACTGTTTTCCAAATTGGCTATATCCTTTTGTATTCTCACCAGAAATATATGGAATTTCCAGTTGCTCCACTTTCTTACCAACACTTGGCATGACTGTGTTAATTTTTGTCATTCTGGTGGGCATATAGTGGTATTTGTGTTTTCAAATTCTTCTATAAAGACTAATAATATTGAGCATCATTTCATGTGCTTGTTGGTAACTCTTAATGTGTTCTTTTGTGAAGTGTCTATTCAAATCTTTTGCCCATTTAAAACATTGGATTGCTTGTCTTCTTTGATTGAGTTATATAATTTCTTCAATATTCTGGATACCATTCATTAATTAGGTGTATGTATTGTGAATATTTTCTCCCAGACCATAGCTTGCTTGTCTTTTCCTTAATGGACTTTTTTTTTTTTAAAGCATGATAGTTATGGGGTCCAATTTATCAATCTTTCTTTTATGGCTTTTTGTTTCCTATTAAAAAAACTTTGTCCATCCCAAAGTCACAAATATTTTTCCCTATGTTTTTGTCTAAAATTTTATAGTTTTATGTTTTACTTTTCTGGCTATGATTGATTTTGAATTATTGTTTTGTATGTGTTGTGAGGGAGGTATCAAGGTATTTATTTACCTATTTATTTATCATATGATATCTAATTATTGAAAAGGCATTTCTTGCCCTAATTTATTACTTTGGGATCTTTGTTGAAAATGCATTCAGCATGTATATGTGGATCTTTTTCCAGACTCTCTAGTCTGTTTAGTTTTTAAAATACACTTATCTTTAAGCTAATACCACACCTTCTTCATTACTGAAGCTTTATAGTCACATGATGTAAATTCTTCACTTTTACTGCCTTGGTAAACATTATTTTGTCTATTCTTAGTCCTTTAAATTTTTAGAATCACATAATTTCTTAGAGTCAAATTGTCTGAAAACATCTGGGATTTTTTGGGGGGGATTGTTAAATCTTTTGACCAATTTAGGGTTTATTGGACATCTTAACAATATTGAGTCTTTCACTCATGAACATGCCAAATCTTTTCATTTATTTAGGTTTTATTTTATTTTTCTCATCAATAGTTTTTTAGTACACAGCCCTTGCATATATCTTATTAAATTTAGTATTATGTAGTTTATGTTTTGTACACTGTTTCAAAAGTTGTTTTAAATTTCATTTTTCAGTGGCTAACTAATGGTGTGTAGACAGATACCAGGTTTTTGTATCCTGTGAACTTGTTAAATATGTATTAGATCTAGAATTTTATTTCTATATTTTATTATTATATTCCTATATATTATGTATAGTATGTTCCTATATTCTAGTATATTTTTCTTATCTTCTTTGCATTTTTTAGATATATGACCAAAAGGGCAGTCAACTTCTTCCTTCCTTTTCTCCCTTCTCTCTCCTCCCATCCTCTTTTTTCCTTCATTTTCTTTTCTTTTCATTCTGTGGTTTTTTCTTTTGTACCTTTACTATAATGTTGGAAAGATGTGGTAAGAGCTGACATCCTTGTCCCCAAACTTAATTAGAAAGTATTCAGGTTTTATTATTAAGCATGTTGTGAAATGAAGGTTTTTTTGAACATGGGCTTTATCCAGTT
Source organism: Homo sapiens (assembly GCF_000001405.40). NCBI lineage: Eukaryota > Metazoa > Chordata > Mammalia > Primates > Hominidae > Homo > Homo sapiens. The sequence continues at coordinate 85,804,802 of NC_000010.11, read as the reverse complement.
TTTTTGTTGCTGAGGCATTTACCATAATTCAGCTTTGAATGTAATACAATTTTTACTGTGATTGTTATGGTAATTTGTTGCCTTATTCTGTTAATGAGGAGTGAATTATATTGACTGATTTTTTTTGAAAGGTAAAACAACCTTGCAATTCTATGACAAATACGTACATAGTCATAATGCTATATCTTTTTTATATATAAGTGAATTAGATTTATTATGATGAAGGGTATTAATCTATGATTTTTTTCTTGTAATGTCTTTGATTTTGAATGAGTATAACATTGGTCATATAAAATGAGTTAGGAAGTACCCTTTCCCCTGTTCTGTCTGAAGTTGTTTGTGTGAAATTGGTATTGTTTGTTCCCATATGGTTGTGTAAAGCCATGTAGACCTGTATTTTCTTTGTATGAGGCTTTTGAATTATGAATTCAATATCTTTAATTGTTACAGGTCTATTTAGAATTCTTAGTTCTTCTAATGTCAGTTTTGGTCATTTGGATCTCAAAACTTTTTTTTTCACTTTATTTTTTCAAATTCATTGGCATATTATTTATAGCAGTCTTTTATTATCATTTTCATGTTCGTAGAATCAGTAGTGATACCCTGTCTTTTACTCCCTAGATGGGTAATTTATGCTTTTTTTTCATTTTTTTCTTCCTTAACTAGTCTAAATAGGGTTTTATCAATTTTTATTGTTACTGTCAAGAATGAATTTTTGTCTTTATATATTTTCTGTTTTTTTTCAATTTCATTGATATCCCCTATTTAGTGTTCCATTAATTCTATTTATTTTGTGCTTACTTTGTTCTTCTTAGCTCCTTAATTGAAAGCTTGGGTTAGTGACTGTATACCTTTCTCTTTTAAAAAAATATAAATATTCAGAACTATAACTTTTTAAATAAATACTGCTTTGACTGTGTCCCATAAACTTTGCTATTTGAGTGTGCATTATTTTTTAGCTCAAAATATAACAAAAAGTATAAATGTGTGAGGTGATGGATACCCCATTGACTCTGATGTGATTATTATGTATTGATGCTTGTATCAAAACATCTGATGTAACCCACAAATATATACACTTACCATGTACCCACAAAAATTAAAATCTAAAAATATATTTTCTAATTTTCATTACAGTTTTTTGACCAATTGGTTATTTTCACATATGTTGCTTAAATTTCTTTATTTAGAGCTTTTTTTTTGAAAATGCTTTTGTTATTAATTTATTAATTAATTTTGTTTTGGTCACAGAATATTTTCTGCTTGATTTTAGTTGTTTTAAAGTTATTGAGACTTGTCTGATAGAAAAACAATAGTTAATCTAGGTGAGTAGTTCATTTGCACTGAAGTTGTTGGATGTGGTGTTCCATAAATGTCAGTTAGGTTAAGTTTGTATGTGGGGTTTTTAAAAATAAATTAATCGTATTTTTAGTGGGTACATAATAGGTGTATATATTTATAGGATACATGAGATGTTTTGATACAGGCATGCACTGTGAAATAATTACATCATGGGGAATGTATCCATCCTCTCAAACATTTATCTTTTGTGTTACAAATCAATCCAATTATACTCTTTTAGTTATTTTTAAATATACAGTTAAGTTATTATTGTCTATAGTCACACTGTTTTGCTATCAAATAATAGCTCTTACTCATTCTTTTAACTATATGTTTTGTACCCATTAACCATCCCCACCTTCCACTTACCCTCCAACTACCCTTCCCAGCCTCTGGTAACCACCCTTCTGGCAACCAACCTCTTGTCCAGTGTTGGAAAACAATTTTTATTGTATATTTATTCCTGTTTTTATTTATGGTGGAAGTGCTAGTACCAATTACTCTCTGTCTCCATGAGTTCAATTGTTTTGATTTTTAGATCCTGCAAATAAGCAATTTGATTTGAATGTTCCTTGGTGTGTGTGTGTGTGTGTGTGTGTGTGTGTGTGTGTGTGTGTGTGTGTTTATTCTGCTTGGATGCTTGGAGTTCTGGTGAGATTGCAGGACTCTCTTCATCTGTCTCTCTTCTCTCAACGGTCACAGTTCTGCCCTGCCTCTTGTCCAGTGTTTGAAAACAGTTTTTTTTTGTATATTTATTTCTGCTTTTAAGTTATTTATTGGTGGAAGTGCTAGTACCAGTTCCTCTGTTATGACCAGGATTAGGAGTTCTTCCTATTAAAATTTAATTTTTTTTCCTTTTAAAGATAAGATCTGAATCTATGTGGAGATAAATTTTGTGCATAATATGAGTTGGCATACAATTTCATTTTTAAAAGGTTACGAATAAGCATTTTACCACAGTTCTATTTATCCAGTAGTCCTTTGCCTAATGATTTATCATGCCTCCTGTTTTCTATAGGCAAATTTTCATATTCATATATATGTGGGTCTGCTTCTGGGTTCTCTATTTTATTGTGATGGTCAGTTGATCTATCACTGTACCAATACTGAACTATCTTAATTTCTATGGCTTAATAATAAATCATATAAATCATATTATCTGTTAAGTTGGGTTCTCTCTCCCAGTTCTTCTTCAGAAATGTCTTAGCTATTCTTGGCTCTTTATTCCCTCCAAGTTCCTTGTGAAATGTTGCTTTTTTGATTAGCATTTCTTTGGCTGTATAGAACAATTTCAGCGACAGTTGATATCCTTACCATATTATGTCTTGTTTTCCTTGATCATGGGTTAACAGTTCATTTTAAAATTCTTTAATGACTTTCAGTAATTTTTATAACTTCCTCTTACAGATGTTGCACATTTTTGTTAGATTTATTTGCTATTGTAAATGCTGTCCTTTAAAGATGTTTTCTCTAATTGTTTGGTGTATAGAAAAACAAGTAACATTTATAGAGAGATTTTATATTTGTTTATCTAAATTCATCTCTTATAGCTAATAGTTTTTCTCAAGATTATTTTTGTTTGTTTTATATATAAACACGTAATCTGAAAATAATATCTCTTAATTTCACATATCTAATTCTTAGGTTTTTTTCCCTATAATTGTATATTCTAGAACATGTAGTATAATGTTGAATAGATTTGTTAATATTGAACATCATTTTATGTTCTGATTTTAAAGCAGTTGCTTTACATTTTCCCACTTATGGTTATGTTTATTAAATGTACTTTGTAGATCCCTTTTATCAAAATAAAGCACTTTCTTTCCATTCCTAATATAATTTTATCATAAATAAGATATTAAATATTATGGAAAGTTTTCTTTGTCTCTGTGAGGTGATGACATGGGTTTTCTCTATTAATTTGTTTAACAAAATTCATAAATTCTGTTGTATTTAGTTATTTAGAATTTGTTTTAAAGATTTTTAACACTTTTATTTAGACATTTTACATTTATATTGACAAATAAAATGAATAGTCCTGTAAAATTTTCTTCTTGAATAATTTTTATTTCTTTTCAGATCAAAATTATAGTGGATTTATAAGACGAGTTACAGTATGCTCCTTTTGCTTATATTTCTAAAAAGAACATGCATCTTGTAAATTTAGTAAAAATTGCCTATGAAAATGTTAAGAACTTCTTTGTGGGAAAACCTTTAATTCTTTTAATTTTTTTCAAAAGCTAACAGAATTTTCATGTTTTATTTCTTATTGAATTATTTTACATTAACTTTAACAAACAAATTTTCTAACTTCTAAAAGTTATTAGCATAAAGGAATTAATAATATTCTCTCATATTTTAGTTTTTACTCTGTTGTTAATTATGTCACTTTTTAAATCATAATATTGTTTGTTTGTTGTCACTCTTTATTTCTCTCTCTCTCCAAATCAATAATCCCAGAGGTTTGCCTATTTTATTATTCTTTTTAAATAATTGACTTTTATGTATATTGGAGTCTTTCTATTTTAACGAAACAGCTCAAACTCTGTAGCCAGATTCTGGCTCCAGCAATTACTAGCTGTGTGGTTCTGTGTTAATTACTTAAACTCTCTGTGCTTCCGTTTCTATCTCTGTAAAGTGGGAATTATATCCACCTCATAGGTTGTTATGATGATTAGAAGAGTTAATAACTGCAAAGCACTCGTGCTGCCTGACACATAGAAAGTAATATATAAAGATTTATTAAGTAAATAAATAATTGTGTTAATTTCTGTCCTTATCTCCTTCCTTGTATATTTTTGAAATTAATGTTACTCTCTTTATAGATTCTTAGGTTTTGCTTCTCTTCTAATATAAGAATTGGAAGTTAAATATTTTCCTCGAATTACCACTTTTGCTATATTCTATAAATTTAGCTATGTGGTCATCGTTTTGGGGTTTTGTTGTTGTTATAGTTCTAGATGGTTTTGAACTATCCATTATGGATTTTTCTATGATCTTGGAGTTATTTACAAGTACTTTAAAATTTTTCTCTATGTAACAATATCTTATGTTTTTGTTTCTATCTTGTAACCTTTGGTTAAGAACATAGTTTGTTCTTGTTTAGTATGTAATCCAGTTTCGGGACTGTATTATAAATGCCTGAGAATGATGTGTGTTTTTATATTGTCTGATACGCAACTATATGCTCATTAAATTGTGTTGTTCACATCTTCTATAATTTTGGCCATTGGTTTGCTTGACCAATGAGGAAGTTCCTTAGAAATTACTCACTTAATAGAGTTTTAGAGTTTTTTTTTTTGTAATTCTATATGTGTATATCTTGTGACTAATTTATTAGGCACATACTTGTTTAGACATGCATGAATTAGATATGTGTTTTTGATTCATTAAATGCTTTCAACATTCTGTAGTGATTTTCTATATTCCCTATACTTTTTAATTTTGTCTTTTAATTGACACATAATAATTGTGCATGTTTATAGGGTACAGTGTGATGTTTTGATACATATATACATTGTATAATAATCAAATCAGCATAATTAGCATATTAATTACCTCAAACATTTGTCATTTCTTTGTGATGAGAACATTCAAACTTCCCTCTTCTAGCTATTTTGAAATATACAACACACTATCTTTAACTGTAGTCACCCTACTATGCAACTGAGCACCAGAAGTCATTACTCCTCTTTAACTAATTTTATACCCAATAAACAACCTCTGCCCTTCTCCACCTCCCCACTACTCTCCCAACTTTGGTAACCACTATTCTACTCTCTACTCCTATGAGATTGGCTTTTTTAAGATTCCACGAGTGAGACCATGTGACATTTTTCCTGTGCTTGGCTTATTTGGGTTAACGTAATGTCCTCTAGGTTCATCCATTTTGTTGAAAATGACAAGATTTAAGTCTTTTTTATCGCTAAGTAATATTATGTTGTGTTGTATGTATAACACATTTTAAAAATCTATTCATCCATTGGTAGGCACTTAGGTTGATTCTATATCTTAGTTATTGTGAGTAGTGTTGTAATAAGCATAGATAAACATAGGAGTGCAGATATTCCTTCAACATAATCATTTTTCATATATAGAAGAAAACAGTTCTAAACTTTGTATGGAGCTACAAAAGATCCCAGATAGCAAAAGCAATCTTAAACAAAAAGAACAAAGCTGGAGGCATTACACTTTCTGACTTCAAAGTATACCCCAAAGCAATAGTAACCAAACAGGTTGGTACCAATGTAGACATGGACATGTAGACCAATTAAACAAAAGAGAGAGCCCAGAAATAAATACACACATTTACAGCCAACTGGTTTTCATAAAGGTGCCAAGAGCAGACATTAGAAAAAGTAGTCTTCTCAATAATGATGCTGGAAAACCTGAATATCTACATGCAGAAGAATGAAAATAGACCCTTATCTCTTATAAAAATCAACTCAAAATAGATTAAATACTAAAATGTTAGACCCCCAAACTATGAAACTACCAGAAAAAAATATGGGAGAAACACTTCATGACATTGGTCTAGGCAATAACTTTTTATGTAAGACCTCAAAAAAAAGACAACAAATACAAAAATAGACTAATGAGATTAAATCAAACTAAAAAGCTGCACAGCAAAGGAAACAATCAACAGTGAAGAGACAACCTGCAGAATAGGAGAAAATAAATATTTATAAACTATGCATCTGACAAGGGGTTAATATGCAGAATATACAAGAAGCTCAACAACTCAATAACAAAAAAAAATCTGATTTAAAAATGAACAAGAGATCTTAATATGAACTTCTCAGAAGATATGCAAAGAGACAGTATGTATATGAAAAATGCTCATCACTAATCACCAGGGAAATGCAAATCAAAACCATAGTGAGATATCACCTCACTCCAGTTAGAATGGCTATTACAAAAAAAACATAACAAATGCTGGTGAGGATGAGTAGAAAGTGAAATTATTTTACCCTGTTGGTGGAAAGGTAAATAGTACAACCACTATGGAAAACAGTTTGGTGTTTCCTCAAAAAACTACAAATAGAACTACCATATAATCCGACAATTCCACTACTGTCTATATATTCTCTATACTGTTTTGCCTTAATTTCTATATTGTCTGATAGTGACTTAGTTTTTCTTTTTATTAGAATTGCTTTGCATATCTCTTCTTATTACCTTCACTCTTAAAGCCTCAGCCTCCTTAAAGCAAAATTTGCAAAGAAGACATAGCAGATATTTTTTCCAATCACTGCCTTCAAACTGACAATAATATTTATTGTGATTGTTAAGAACTTAAAATAGAGCTACCATTCAACTCAGCAATCCCATTGCTGGGTATATACGCAAAGGAAAATAGATCATTGTACTCAAAAGACACGTACTCATATGGTCATCACCATGTATTCACAACAGAAAAGACATGGAATCAACCAGGTACCCATCAATGGTGGATTGGATAAACGTGGTATATGTATATACTGTGGAATACTATGCACCACTAAAAAGTATTTCATTGGCCATGGAATGCTATGCAACTATAAAAAAGAATGAAATCATGTCATTTGCAACAATATGGATGAAGCTGGAGGCTATAATGCTAAGTGAACTAACACAGGAACAGAAAACCAAATACTGCATATTCTCATGTATAAGTGGGAGCTAAACATTGAGCACAGATGGAAAGAAACATGTGTTGTAATAGACACTGTGGGCTGGGCGTGGTGGCTCACACCGTAATCCCAGCACTCTGAGAGGCCAAGGCGGGTGGATCACCTGAGGTTGGGAGTTAGAGACCAGCCTGACCAACATGGAGAAACCCCATCTCTACTAAAAAAAAAAAAAAAAAAAAATACAGATTTAGCCCCCAGTGGGTGTGGTGGCATATGCCTGTAATCCCAGCTGCTCAGGAGGCTGAGGCAGGAGAATCACTTGAACACGGGAGGTGGAGGTTGCAGTGAGCTGAGATTGCACCATTGCACTCCAGCCTGGGCAATAAGAGCAAAACTTGGTCTCAAAAAAGTAAATAAATAAAATAAAATAAAAATAAGTACAGAAATAAATAATAGACACTGTGGACTACTAGAGTTGGTAGGTGGTGAAGAGGATGTGAATTGAAAAACCAACAATTGTGTACTATACTCAGTACCCGAGTAGTGAGCTCAATACCCATGTAACAAACCTGCACACATACCCCATATATCTAAAAATAAAAGTTGAAATTAAAAAAAAAGGAAATTTGAAATTTTGATTTAAATTATCCAGTGTTTTGAGGTTTTTTAAAAAACTCTTTTTCAATAATAAGAAATTTAACAGCTTCATACCATATCATCCTGCTATTCTCTTTCATTCCCATTTTGGTTTCTTATATATACACTTTATCCTTTCCATTTGGGAGTGCTCTTAGCCTTTTAAAAGACAAAATAAAATTTTCCAGGTATTTTATCACTCCTACTTCATGTATCTCCTGCAGCATTTGTTAGGTTTGTTTCTTTTCTTATTTGGATACTTTATCACAAAGTCTTTCTAAAATGGGTCATTGTTAGACAAAACCAATGAAGCCTTCCTTGTATGTCTGAAAATATTTTTATGACGTTTGAAAGGCAATTTGTCTGGATATAAAATTTCAGATTTAATGTTCTTTTACTTAAAATGCCTTAAAATACCTTACTCCATTGTCTTATTGAAACTAATGCTTCTGTTGCTCTTGAAAAGTCTGATGTCAAATTGTTCTGAAAGGTTATTTGCTCTTTTTTTTTTTTGAGTTAGATCATTTTAACTATGAGCTTAAATTATTTCAGTGTTCAAAGTCATTGCTTTTCTACCATGATTTGCCCATCTAGATCTCTTAATTTTCAGAGTGGCTAGATTATATATTCACGCTGTTTTTCCAAGCAAGCCACTTTTGATTATTTCTGAGCCTTTTATATCTTGCAATGGGCTTCTTAGTCCGGAATGCACTTCTTGTGGCATTACATAAGTTGGAGACATTTACTCCTTTCTGTTGTTGTTTCTAGGGTATAAAATGGAAGGTCTGAAATAAAGCAGATTTTTAGTTAATACCATTTTTTCTCTGTAAGAATTTGTTATAGTATGTATTCTTTGTCCAATTAATATTTTAATCACAATATGTCTAGGTTTATTTTAAGAACTTTGTTTAGAGTGTGATAAGTCCCTTTGGCTTACAGTTGATTATTTTGAAATTCAAAAGTATTTCTCCAATGGTGTCTTCTTTGAGCCTGTCAAAGTTTTGTGGGTTTTCTGGTTTGTGCATTAGTTTTCCCAGAATTATCTGTGATTCCAGCTTTGATCTTTATTCTCTATTCTCTCCACACCATTCCCCTTGTCCTTGTCATTGCTATCTCTGACCATTCCTTTCACATTGTCAGGAAGAGAAGGCTTCCCATGACTGATCCAGTCTTTTCTTCGTCAATTCCAATGCTGGGATTAGAGGTTTGGTTTTGTTTGCAACCCTCCCTTAACTCCCCAGCTCCCCTTTTAAGCTCAGCTTGTCATTTTTTCTGTCTCTTCCTGTGACTCTCCATCTCAGTCTGTTTTCTTCCTTCAGTTCTTCATAACAGTTTCATTATAAACATGTCCTCTGAATCATTTGGAAGATGTTGTTTACTGTTGTGTGCATTGTTCTACCCATGGTCACTTTCTCTAGATTGCTCAGCAAGCAACTGCAAGCCCTGCTGTAAGATGTTGAGATTCTTTGTAATCTGTCTTGGCCAAATGTGCTTTGCTGGTGGGCATTATGGGTGCCAGGATTCGACGTGCCGTTGCCTGTCTCCTTTCTCCTCCACTTCCTGTTTTCTGTCTTCCTGTTTCCTGGTAATTGTTTTCCCTAAATTAATTTAGAGCATTTTCTGAAAATATGTTTCAGGGAACACTAGTTCTTCAGGATGTGTATAGATGATAAATGAAAAATAAAAATGCCTTGTATTCAAGTGCATTTAAGAAATATTGAATTAAACAAAATCATTACAGGATTGTTTACTAAATGGCTTCTGAGAGCCTTTGATGACTGTGGCTTTTTGAGATAGGACTAGATGAAGCTCTCTGAGGTGCGTCTTGTAAGACTGACATGCTGCAGAACACCTTTTAGAATCTTTTGCTGTCATATGTTTGGGGAGATGCAGAAAATGGTCTGGCTGCCCCAGGAACAGGAAGCACACAGTAGAGGAATTGCTATGTACTATTCAATTTGACATAAACCTTGGGCCTCCAATTTCAAGAACAAGCAAAGAAGGAATGAATGATGTTAGAATATCCTTCTGTGGTGATTCAGAGTGGCGAGGCTGTCCTGTCTTTTGAACAAAAGCATAGGTAGTCCAGTGATTATATTTCTCGATCCATATCCATCTACCTATATTCAAGGGAAATTCCTAATATTTACAGTGGGATGACTGTCAGTATTGTCTTCATCTTTTTTCTATATTTTCATCATTTCTGTGTCTTTATAAATATTTAGTTAGAAGTTGGGGGAGAATGTGTCATCTGCCATTTTCAACTGGAGACCTATGTAAATAGTGCAAGAGGTTGGTAAGTAATCCACCTTGAATTTGCTGTGTCTTTCAGGCAGGAAAAGCAATCACTTGGCAGTATGTCAGCTTCACACTTCTACATCAGTGTTTGACCTCAAGGGCATGGCTATACTGTCTTATGATTACAGGAGGCAAATGCAGGGTCTTATCTCCACATCAGCTGCCTTTACATCACTTGGGTCTATTAGCACCCAGTGGTAAATACTACTGGCTGCACCGCAGGCACTGGCTTAGAAGTAAAACTTTGAATTTGCCATTGCCATTACTTAACCCCCATCAAAGGTAGATTGAGAGAAACAACACTTTTAGTAGATTACCTGACAGCTATTCAATCTGTCAATCCTTTGGACACTAACGTTTATAATCAGCAAGATTCTTCCAGTGGAGAATTGCTTTCCTCTGTGAAGATCCATTTAATCAAATATTTTTGGTGTGATGTCACTGGCTTTCATTCAAGAGCATGATTAGAAACACACTTATAAAATTCATTATTGACTTTATTGTGAACATGATCCTGAAAACATTCACTGCCTGACACACATTTTCTCTTTAGCACCGATGCTCTGAGATTCAATCTCAGGGACGGAAATAGCTGTGCTTGTTTTTGTCCTATGTTATAAATCATATAAATGATTAGGTTACTGATCATATTAAGCAGCTAAAATGATGGATAACAGAGTTGATATTTAAATCATTATGGCAGGCTGGGTAGAGGCTAACCAAATAACCTCAGCAGTGGAAAATCTACAGCCTTCATTTGGGTAAAAACAATCCATTGAAACACCTGTTCTGACAGAGAGATTAATTCAGCATTTCCAAAAGTGTGCTCGGAGATGCTGTCCTTCAAGGAGATGCTTCTTGAAGGAAAGACCCCGGAGAGAACTAAGTATGGGAAATGCTGCATGTTAAATCTATCTTATCATGATTCACAATACACATTAGCATATTAAAAGTCTGTAGTAAAGAAATCTGTTTAATTCTGTTGTTTCCAGTTTTTCTTCCTAAATTCATTTAATGCAGGGCTTTTGTTCTTGTTGTCATTCCTGGTAGGACCCAGGACTATCCCAGGAATGCTCTGCAGAGTTCATTTTAGAAAATGCCAGGTTAAATCATTCAACCTAAGACCAGTGAGTTTTCCTTCCCACTGTTGATTGATTCTCACTATAATAATGCTTTTATTTTTTCATATAGTTTTCATTACCTTTACCATGGTAGTAATAGCTATCATTTGTGGAGTATTTTGTATGTGCCGTACCTTGTAAATGTTACTATCAGTGAGCGTAGCAGAGATGCCAAATGGTGAAGCCCTGCAGAGACCATCAGACCCTGAAGAGGCTGGAAAACTCACATGATAGCTGTTGGTCCAAGGGCAGAACTGGATTCCTCCAGTCATGTCTTTCCTGACCTTCTTCCAGGCCTGGGCTGGGTTATGCAGATAAAGTTATGAGTAAGAAATATGGTCTTTGTCTCCAAGAGCTTAAAATTGAGATCACTGACAGACAATGCATGTAAGAGGAGCTGGGTAAGAGACTCCAGAAGAGAAAGTGATTGCTTAGTGGAGGTTCAAGTGCAGCTTGATTGCGGAGAGCACACCTGTGCTGCTGGATGGACAGCAGCTGCTAGGTGGGGGCAGGCTAAGGATCCAGCAGAAGATGCACCAGCAGAGTCCCTGCAGGATGCCACTCAAGGAGTGCACATGGAAGTGCCAGGAGTTGCTTCTGGTTGAGGCAGTGGATTTCGCATGGCTGGATCATGGAACCCTTTGGGAGAGGAAGATGGAAATTGGACGTGGAAAGGCTTCAAAGCCCATCGAGAGTGTTGAGCTCCAGAAAGGAGGCATGCCTGCACTCTGGAGCTAATATGTGGCACTTGCCAGAAGTTGTATCATGAAAAAGCTAAGGGAGGGATGGGACAAGGGTGTGGCAGAGCCCTGAAGCAGGTACTGATGACATCGGAGTAGGCATCTGACTTAATCTGAAATGTTTCATGCCTTCCTCACTGCCATCATTGTGACAGGCAAGTGCTCCTGCTGACACTTCTCTGTCTGCTCTGCTGGCCCACCTTCTCAGAGCCCTGTAAGTACTCTGACGGGAACTCAGAATAAGGGTCATTGTGGCCTACTCCCTGCAGGACTCTGGGTGTCATTTCCATCATTCCACTGGGATACCAGGAGGAAGAGGCTTCGAGCTTGAGAGGAAGAACACAGCTTCCTGAGAGGTCTGGAGTGGCCCTGCCTTTGAACCTGCCCCATGGATCTGGGTGCTTGGACAGAGCTGCAGCAGTCACTTCATTTAGCCAGCATTGTGAGGAGTGGAAAGAGAGAGACCAGGATCCTGAGGCCTTCGGCACCTCTCAGCTCAGATCTCAAGCTGGATTCCTCCAGAGTCATAAACCCTATATCCTGCCAGAGAACAAATCATTCCAGCAAGAAAGAGGATTCTGGCTTCCAGTGTCTGATGACTTATGAAGTGCAGCCAAGAGTGAAAATCATTTTAAAAATATTGAAAGGCACCTCGCCAGGGCTCCCTCCACTGGTGGAAATATGAATACAGGATTTATTTGAGGCCCCAAGTGCTGTGGCATCATCCAGAGATGGGGACAACACTGTCTGCATTTTAGAGCTGACAGCTACAACTTGTTTCTTCCTGCTGCTGTGGCTGCGACTGCTGCCACCGTCAGGAGCTTCGAGCATCAGGGCGGATCTCTGGTGGCACTGGCAGTTGAGGCATAATCCTTCAATGGTGTAGATGATGGTTTCAGGGAGGCTGAGGTCCCAGGCCTGTGGCAGGAGGATTTGGGGAAAGCCATGCTCTGTGGTTTGGCCAGCTTGGGTAGATAACTTAAGTTATGCACTAGCTCATGAATACACTTAGGCTTCCAGAACCTAAGGTGAGGACACTCTTTTGGACTGGCTCCCTGGCCTCCTGCCTGGGGGCCCCAGGGACTCAGCTGCTTCTCTTATTTCTGACACTGCATCTTCCCCATTGGACCACAGCCCAGCCCTCTCCCTATGCCCCCTGCACAAAAGCCCAGGGTCCCCTGGCTTTGTCTCTTCCCTAAGCTGAACTATTTGCTTTTCATCTCTGTCTGTTGTTTTATAATCTCTTCTTTGAACTCTTGTATCTCTTCTTAGATTTCTTTTTCCTTCAAGAGACCATGTTCTCTGTAACTTTTTTGAGACTGGGGAGAATATTTGCCTGAACTATTAATCTTTTTTCCCCTAAGAGATAATTCCTTGTGATCGATTGTTACATTTTCTTTATCTGCTTTTCTCCCCATGCTGGCTTCTCCCTCCCTTACTCATGATTTGGGGACATTCTGTTCATATATATATTGTCACTTTCTTTCTGGTTATCATTCACCTTCAAAGAGAGCTGGCTCCCTGTTTCAGAAAGTGTAGGGAGGGACTGGGGACCAGGGTCAGGAGCTTGCTGGGGCCGTCCTTGGCTTCTGTGAGAATTGGTGAGTTCTCTCTTTCCAAGTTTTTGATTCACTTTGTCCTGGATGTGTATCTCTCCATAATTTTCAGGATTCAAAATGGAAGGGAACTTTCAGAAAATTCTTCTAAGATCTGCATTGCGCCAGTCAGGGTTTTGGCCTCTGCCTTCAGGTCCTGTGCTCCATCTCGCCATGGGGCATCTTTCATGGCCTGGGTGTGGCTGGAAACCACAACACAGTTTCTGCCTTGCTTGGCCTCCTGTTGGATTTGGGGGCCAACCTGGACTCAGTCACGTCGTCTGTGGGCTCCCTGAAATGCTCTTATCTGAGGACATCTGTGTTCTGCTCGGACCTGAGCTGCCAGGTGGGTATCGATATTGGGTGTCACTGCCTGTCTGGTGTGCTTCTGTCACCATGGGTGGCCATCGCTAGGGATGAAGTCACTCGTTGTCTCTGGGAAAGGCAGGATTAGAAGGGGAGTAGATAACCATGGAGGCAGTAGAGTGTGTTGCCCCCAGGCCCTCAGGAAGGCTAGAACCAAATCCCAGCAAGTTTCTCTACTCTGCTCAGAGAGAGCGGGGCTGTGCCTGGTCTCTAAAGAGCAGAGGAGCTGGGGAGAGAGGGTCCTGTGCAGCCAGGACAAGGGCTTGGTCAAGGCACTTGAGAGGTTGTGAGGAGCGGGTGGTTGAGAAGCCGGGTGGCCCTGCACAGTCAGCCACTGCTGTTCTCTGTCTCAGATGCCCAATCATAGAGCAGGGAGGTGACCATTCTCATATGCACCTGACCCAGACAGAAGGCGAGGGGACCAAGGGCCTGGCTGCTCCCTGCCAGGAGGCTCCTGGTCTGACTCAGGACAGGGCCTGCCCCAAACCTAGTGACCCCAGCATCCCCTGGTGCCCCATACTGACATGGCCTGAACTCCACACCCTTCCCCCCACTCCCTCTGCCCAGACAGGACCTTCCTTTGATAGAAACATCCTTTTGCCCCACTCTGAATCTCCTTCATCATCTGCCTGTCCTGCAGTCTCCTCACAGATGCAGACCTTGTTTGTTTCTTTCCAGTTTCCCTTTCCCAAGGCCTGAAATGGCCTCTGGGTGTGGAGCCAGGTCCCCTGAGGACAATTGCCTAGTGACAAACTGCTGGGGCTTGGCAGCCTCTGTGTCATCTCATTTAATCATTCTCTTGTTCCGTCTATATTTATTGAGTTCCTGGTATCTGCCAGTCATGGATTCAGGTGCTGGGGAATGACAGGGGACGAAGGGAAACACAGCCTTGTCCTCCCACATCTGGGGCTGGCCCTCACCCGCTTTGGTGGACAGGCTCAGTCATGCTGGAGCGCTGTGATAGGAGAGGTGGGTGGACCCAGGAACATGCAGCAGTGGTCCCAGCCTGGCTGGAGGAGGATGAATTGCCCACTGGGAAAAGCTTCCAGACAAAGTAAATCTAAGCTGAGGCCAGAGGCAGAGTCAGGAAAAGGGAGAGGGCTCTCCGGAGATGGAAGAGCAGGTGTGGATGCCAAGAGCCATGAGGGCGGGTGCTGCCACTGCAGAACTTGGGGCTCTTCAGCCTGGGGGAAGCCAGAGGGTCCCAGGGCCTGATCACTCAGACTTGCAAACTGCACTTGTGTTTGGACTGTAGGTTTGCATTGAATGAGATCACAGTGCCACAGTGTGGGGATGTTCAGGACCCACCCCCTGCTCTTGGCCTCTGCTACCCTGACTGTGAGGCCCCTAAATCTCCTGGGTTCCTGGGGGATTGTCCCATCCATGGGCAGTTCTGAAGCCAGCCTGGTTCCTTCCTCTCAGCTGTGAAACCTGAAAGTGTTTGCTGCTTTAATTGTGGCAAAGGAATTCATAAAGCTACAGCTGAAAGGGCATCCTCTGAAGCCTGCCTGTGTCACCAGAGGGGCTGTTTAATAATAGGAAGCATACTTGGATCTGGGCACTGCACAGGGAGCTTTGAGACCCATTTTCACCCTAAGAGGTGGTCTTTCTTCCAAGCTGCCATGTTCTATAAATTCAAGCTGAGACCCAGGGAGAGAGACACCTCTATATTATCCATGATTCTCCTGGATAGTGCTGCCCAGTCTGGAGTGCTCACAGGTCCTCTCCACACTGCGGCTGCTCTGGCATCTTCCCCAGGGCCCTCTGGGTGGGCACCAGCCTGCACACGGATGGCGGTACTCTGTGCAGTGTCAGCTTTGGCAGGTGTCTTGGCTCCAGAGCCAGCTCTGTGGTTCCTGCTTACACAGTCACAATCCTGAAATTTGAAAATAGATCATAAATAGACATGTAGATGACCTGAATCCAAGCAGAGGGGGCACCCTGGGGGAAGAAGACAAAGCTCATTTATTTATTTATATTTACTTATTTATATTCTGCCTCCTTCCCGAAAAGGATTTCTGACAGTTTACAGAAACACTTAATGTACAATGGGAGGTATCTTTTGTTTTTTTTCCCTCTTAATCAAGAAATGGGGGAAATTAGGGCAAAGAGAAAATGAGGGCAGAGATGCAAGATGAAACTGGTGGAAAGCTAAGTATACAAATGCATGTACCCACCCTACCTCCCACTGACCCCGAGTTCTCTAGCTTAGTTTTATTTCTCAGCCAAGTCCTAACTTGGGCTGACATCTCCAAAGCAGCTGAAAGCCCTCCTGGCTGGTGCAGTCTGGTGCTCAGCAACTCATCTGCGAAGGACTTGATTAGTTGCTAGAGGTCAGCTCCAGACACTCCATATGTGCCTGTGCACCTCCAACTAGCCACAGTGAGGAGGCAAACAGGTCCCATTTCACAGTGCAAGACTTTCCTAACGGAAGAATAAATCAGTGACCCAGAAGATGACGAGACTTCCCAGACCTCTACTCAGGCCTGAAAAAGTCTGTGGGTAATGACTTATGTGTGGGACAATTAGGGTTTGCCTGTCACTGTGGAGTAAATTCATGAGGTTGGCCAAGAAAACTTCACTGGCCCCACTGTGGGCCAGCCACATTGGTTGATGTTACAGATAAGACCGTGGGCAGACAGACTCATCCCTGCTTTAATGGGGACCCCACTCTTTAGGGGAGACAAGACCATAAGAAAGAACACACCTAAACATAATAATTAAGTGCTAAGTAGGAATAGAGGGGCTTCCAAAGTGTGCTTTGGGAGCATGGACTGCGGACAACCGTGAGCCTCTTCTGGCCAGGCTCACTGCGCCTCCCTGCCTTGGCCATGTTTTATAAGAAAAGTTTCTCCCACAGAGAAAGAGCAAACCATGAAAGGAAAAGGCTGGCAAGCATCTAGGCAGTCAATAATTCCTGATTTTTTTTCCCCCTCATTCATCAGCTCTTAATTGGTGTCTGCTGTGTGTCAGACATTCTGCTAAGGGGTAATTAAAAGGCAAAATAACTTCTTTTTCTTTTCTTTTCTTTTTTTTTTTGTGAAGTTTATAGTCTCCAGAGGGTGACCGATGAGTTAGCAGATCCTTGTGATGTGCTCAGTATTTTGCAGGGGTAACAGGAGACAAGAGCAAAGAGCGGAACCAGGGCCAGACCCTGGGGAGGGATTTGGAAATGGATTCTGTGAGCCACTGGGGACCTTCTCAGTCCCAGGAGCAGAAGCATCGGGAGTAGAAAGAAACCGGAGAGAGGGAGTGGCTGGTGGTGTGGGGGCCCCTGGCTGTCAGATGACAGCAGGGCACAGCAGCAGAGAGGGGCAAGGCGGGGTGGGCTTGGCAGCAGACCCACCCATTTAGGCCGGCTGGGTGATGGTGGGGATGCAACTGGGCAGTGTGCTGAGCTGAGGATTTACCTGGCTCCACTGTGGTCCACACGAGTGGGTGGTCCTGTGTGTCTCAGAAGCAGTGGATGTCACAGAGCTGGGCAGGCTCTTGGAAGGGAAATGGAGCTGGCTGGGCAGGAGACACCCACGACATCAGCCCCTTGTTGTTCCCTCCCAGGATTCAAAGCAGAGCTCCAGTTCCTGTGGGAGGGATGAGTGAGAGGAATGAGGCCTACATTTTTCAAATCCAGCAGGGAGGTGGGTGCCCAGCCCCAGGACATGGCAGGAGCTACTCAGGCCGCTAGCTTCACCCACAGGACCTCTTATGAACTGGGTCCAGGTGGACAGCAGACTCAGAGGAAAAAGCAGAGTGCATGGCCAAGATGGACCTGAGGACAGAGTGTTCAGATCCAGGCAATGAGGATGTCAGCACCAGTAGGCCCAACTGGATACCTGGGAGTGGCCAGGGCAGGGGCAGGCACATTTACCAAACCCTTCCAGGACTGTCCTGGATTCACTATGTCTGTGATCTCACCACCACACTGCATGAATGGGAATGGTCTCTTCAGCTACCAATGGGAACAAGGCTCAGAGAGTGTATAAGTAACTCACTCAATGTCACAGTCGTCTTCCATGGGTGCTGTGCTCTAACCAGGGCTGCAAGGCATTGATGGGAGATGGTGGATGGCAGCTGGGAGGCAGAGGGGGAGCCCTGGGGCAAGCCCCAGCCATGGCTCTGCCCCCAGCTCTCACAGGTGTGACCTCCAGGCAGGCTGGAGAGAGGCCCCATTTCTTAATGGCTGGTTTATTTTCAGGTTGAAAGCTTCTCCCTCCCACCACCCCTCCTCCACGCCCTGCCCTTTGCAGCCTGGGCCCTGGGAGGCCATAGTGACACCCAACACTCGCAGCAGGTTCATTGCCTTCTGCACAAATCTCCTTCCTATCAGCCGGGTCCTGGCGGGGGGTGGGGCATGCTAATCTAATCGGCCCTTTCCCATCTGTAATTACTGTAATCTATAACAATAATTACAGTCCATTTTATTTTAGTGCCGCTTATCTAAATGTGGATGTGCACTACTGAGATTGCCAATAGAAATAAGCCCCTGGGTGAGGCAGCAGGGTGGGAGGGATGTCGGGGAGAAAGCTATGCCTTGCGGGCCCACGTGGTTCCAATGTGCTCCTCTCCAGCCCTTTGCTGCCCTCCTGAGGCACCCTGCTGCCCTGTGGAGTCCGGCATGCCTGCAGGGGGTGGACCACTGAGCAACCAGGAAAGAGCAGGGGTTGTCACATCAATGCTAGAGTTTAGTGACTTCCCTCGGAACAGGTTATCTTGAATCCTAGAGCCAGCATGGCAGCTGCTACAAACCCTTTTGGGAACAGGGATCATGCCCTCAGCGCCCAGTTTCTCAGATGCCAAGTGCAGTGTCTGGTGTGTGGTTGGTGCCTAATGAGTGCTTGGTGAATGATGTAGAAATCACACTAAAATCATATCGTGTCACTTAGGCTGGCTATTGATTCAGGCAGCTTTCCCTTCATGAATCAGGTCTCACTGCCTCTGTAATTTGGAAAGATAACTACTTGGGGGAATATCATGAAAAAAATTCATTTTATACAGCATGATGTAGCTGGGCTAGAGATTGTGTGTGCATATGTATGTATATGGTGTGTATGTGTCTGTGGTATGTGCATGTGTATGTGTATGTGTATAGTATGTGTACGTGTGTGTGTCTGTGTAGTGTGTGGGTATGGTATGTACACGTGTGTGTATGTGGTGTGTGCGTGTGATGTGTGTGTGTCTGTGGGGTGTGTGTAGTGTGTGGGTGTGGGGGTATGTGTGTGTGTGCATTTGTTTAATGCACTTTGGGCTGCTGTTGCCTGTTCTTCTGGTGGAGGAGAGCCAATCTGTCTTTGGTTTTATCCTGAGTCACATAAAGTTCCTGATTTCAGGTTTGGGAGTCTGGGGGTGGAGATGGCTGTGGTGGTAAAGTTGGGTGTAAACCATTTATTACCGGGGCTTCACCATGAAGTCCAATGAGGCTGCTTTACTGAATTTACTAGGTCCCTGGAACACTGAAAAAGGAAGTCAGTGCCTGTCCTTGGCGACTGGAGGAGACAGATATTTCAGTCTAGCCTAGAAGCCTTAGACTCCAGAAGTCATGATCCCTTCAATATTTAAAAACAGCTTGAGATTTCATCCAGCTTATGGAGGGGAACCCAAAGCCTGCCACGGCAGAGCTGTGGTCATTCTCAGGGAAGCCCCTTCCTAGTCCCCACTTTTCTTGTCTCTTTCCGCGTCCGTGGAATTCATCTTATGATTATTTTGCTTCCTGCTGTGGGTCTGTTTCCTCTGCTTTGCTCTGAACCACTGTGGAACCAAACTCTTTTCCTTTGATTTGTAAAGGAGCTTCTAACACAGGGCTGCTGCAACAGCAGAATTTCAGTGAAGGTTTGGAGTGTTCAGAGACCAGCATAGTGAATTCCTTACCTGAATATTTAGCCTGTAAGTTTAAAAGCATTTCCATCCCGTTCCAGTTTATTTCTCATTCGTGTAAAATCCAAAATGAGTGTTCCTGATTGCTAGGGTGCACAAGTGTGTGCATGTGCATGCGCCTCTCAGTCAGGCCAGGCCCCAGATCAAATGACTGGTTCAGAAGCCATGCTGGGTGACATTATGCTATCTACATACAAGGGAGAGCATCGGGGATCTCCTCTGCAATTGTGTAGCCAGACTTAGAAGTGTCACCTGTCACATCTCATTGAGCAGAACTCAGTCACATGGCCATGGGGACAGGAAAGTGAGGCTGAAAATGCAGTCCAATTGTGTGCTCAGAGAAAAAAAAGGAATCTTGATAACCAGTGAAAACACTATTCCATAGTTAGCCCTTGTGTTTACCAAATGTTTCATTTATTTTCGCTCACATAGAGCATGCACACCTCGTCCTTAAAGCAGACAACCTTCAAATCCCACCCAGCCTCTAGATCCATTCAAAAGCCCAGAACTTCTGGACTCCATCAGCTTAAGATGGGCTCCTTGCTGTACTGTGACTCAGGAGCTTAGACAAGCAAACTGATGCTCACGGTTGTCTGCAGTCCATGCTCCCAAAGCACACCAGACACGGTCCTAGAATTGGGACAGGATAAATGCAGTAAGCATCCCACTTGGTAGAAGGGGGAAAGGGAGATGCACGGCCATCATTCAGGGCGTTGCTGAATTCCTGGGAAGCCCCATGAGCACATTAGCCATGGCGGTGGACAGAGTGCCCCGGACAGACTCTAGTTCTGTCCCCTAGGAAGAACTCCCTTGACCCATTGTCCTCTGTGGCCTCTGATCCTCTGTCTAGAGGTCTGTACTACCCATTAGCCTCCTGGACACACCTGAGGTGCATGCTGTGGAGTGTTTATGGGCTTGAGGATTGGTTTATGTAGTCAGAGCCTCAGAGATGAGCAAAGACCCCACTATTGAAAGTAAAAGTTCTTTAATTTACATCTGGCATGCTTTTAACATCTTGAGCTAGATGATTCCTGTTTAGACCCTCAAAATAATTCTTGCAAGAGAAGGTCCATGTTTCAGTTTTCTTAATATTTACATTATTTCCTTTGCAAGATGTTCCCCAGCTCCTTTTTAATCTGTAGCAGATTTTGCTGAAGGTTTGACATGTTGGAGAGTGGTTACATCACAGCCCCACCTAGGAAATCACGAAGAAGCTGAACATTACATGCTCTTGTTCTTAAAAGGCCCTGGGCCCCCTGATGCCAGCGATATCTCCCAACCTCAACTAACCAATAACCCCCACATGACATGCAGCATCCTGGGAGTGGCCAGGCTATCTCAAAGAATGCTCTTCTCTGGGTACTCTTGGGAGGTTTTATTTTGGCTCAAGTAAGCTTCTGGTGACAACAGCTTTATATATTTTTTTGGAGTAAAACAATTCTGGCCATGCTGGATGAGAGGGAGTTTTGGGCAGGTCCCTGATTGCCTATTTGTCTGTGCACTGAAGCAGACTCGTGGCAGTTTTCTAAAGTGATCCCTGTTCCCACCAGTGGTAATCCTCAGCTCACCTCATGACACAAGGACGAAGTGTTTTTAGCAAGATCCTTGGCTCCTACAAAGGTATGTCATTTTCATTCTGGTTTATTTTCTGTGAATCCTCAGAGGTTAGTCCTCCCCTGGCAACCACAAGAGCTATATTCAGTGGGTTTCTGGGCAATGCCACGACAGTCCTGAGCTCACTGTCTATCTTTCTGTCCATAAAATCAGATTCGAGGAACTCCATTCGGTGAGGATTACATGAAGGATGAGAGGTCTTGCCCCACTTCTTGATATTATAAACCTGTGTGTGGTCAGTCTCTCTGTCAGAGAGTAGCGCCTTCAGATGCCCAGCCCTCTCTGCACCCTTGGCAGAACTGGTTTGAGCACCTTGCACTTTACCTAAGAAACAGGGTCTGGGAAGCTTCTTGTCGCCTTCATTGCAAGGGTGCTGCTAGCGATGCTGTTGTCCACTTTGCTTCACAGAGTCTGGATATATGATCCCCCGGGAGACAGTCTTTTCTAATTACAATGCCAAAAACAGTTTTAATCCCTCAGATTGAGTTGTTGGCACTTATTCTCTGGGGATGGTGCATTTGGTGATGAATAGCATTTCCCTGTTTGTGCCAACTGTGACTCCTAGGAGGCTGAGAAGAAAAATGAGGCCCAGCTGTTGGAGACGTGGAGAGATCATCTTTTTAGGCATTTCTAGTGCCGTTCTGGCTGTAGTTTATTTCCATCCTTATTCATTTTCTTTCTTCTTTTGATCCCATGTCAATGTGTGTCTTTTATTGCAATTAACTGGGTCAGCTGCCCAAAATTCCTCCTGGAAGAAGATTTAGACGTGCACGTACACTAATTTGTACTTGAATCTTTTCTAGAATAGTCTCTGAGGCCCATGTGACCCAGTCCCCTGTGACATCCCTGGCTCCACAGCAGCTGCCCTGGCAGTATTGCACTCATTTTATGCCCACCAGGCATGCATCTACGTCAGGGCCTTTGCACTCGCTGCTCCCTCAGCCCAGAATGCCCTTCCCCTGATACTCATTTGCCTTACTGCCCCCAATCTTTCAAGGTTTTTACTCAAATAACTCTTCTTCAATGAGATTCTTTTGTTCACTTAACATTTCAACTCTAACACTTCCCATTGCTCATCCCATATAACACCTGTATTAGACTACCTTCACTAAATTGTAACATATAAGACAGCAGTGATTTTTACTTGTTTTTTTAATTGCTGGGTCCCCAAGGTTTAGAACAGGGCCTGGCATGCTCAATAAACATTTGTTGAATGAATGAAGAAATTCTGTTTTCAAGCTGTCAGTAGACAATGATACTGCCCGTCCTACAGAGATCTCATAAAAGGCATTGATTGTCAATTTTCCAAACATTTTCCTTGCATGATGTTACAATGTGGATTCTGATTACTGTGTAAGTGCGTGTGTGTGTGTGTGTGTGCATGTGCACTCACATTTCTTGTCTGAGGGTCAGTTGTTAAGTGTCGTAATTGGTATTATTGCTGTTATTGTGATTTTGGGCTAATTGCAGTAGCTCCCAGACCTGGCTGGCTTTGTAAACATTTTAAAAATGTTATGAAATTATTATGAGAACATTAATTTGGATTTATTGTAATTAAACTTTAAATTTTTTGCCTTTAGGAAGATTAATTTTGACAAAAAAGACTAACAAAAATAGATCAAACCAATGTTAAACTGTTGAGAATTCCTGGCCTCCTAAATAACCATTGAGGTCTGGAAGAGCTTGTCAGGGCCTAGTGATTAAGATGATGGATTCTAAGCCCAGACATTTTTGTGTATAAATCCAGGCCCAGCAAGTTACTGACTGTGTGATCTTGAACTAGTTTTTGGTTTTTTTTTTTTTCAAATGTACAATATATCTCTCTTTCTTCATTGGAAATTGAAGGCCATGATACTTACTTCACAGGCTTATATAACACTGTCCTCTGTGTAAAATGCCCAACATGAGGCCAGCCATGTAGTAGATGCTCTTTAAATACAGATTTTACTCAGGAGGCTTGAGGGAATGAGTTAGCATTTCCTGAGTCACATGCTGTGGTCTGAAAGTTTGACCCTCAGTCACCCACTTGTTACCTACGCTCCAGCATCACACAGGCATTTTATCATCTCAACCACCACGTTTGCAACTGGCCAGCCACTGCTATACTGCAGCTCATGTAATCAATAATGTTGTATTTTACAAAAGTAGATTATTCATTTGTCAGAAACATACTACAAAAAAGTAACTATATGGATTTCAGGGAACAAAGGATTAATTTCTGATGGAGCTAATCATGCTTATGTGGCATAGTGGGAGCACGCAGAGATGTCTCAATATTTGAAGGGAAATGTTCTTCCCCAAATGATATTATGACTCAGAAGTCCAGGGGAATTAGCTTTAGTCTCCTTCTAGCAGAGGAAAAATTATCCTTAATTTGATATTGATTTTTTAAAATTGGGTTCTGCTACTTTTACTTTCCATCTGTGAGCAGAGATTCAAATGCCAGCTTTTAATCCTAGAAGCACCTACTTCATTTCCCCTTCTGGTTGGGGAGATCAGGCGAGCCCTCCAAAACTCTGTAGAGATTGGAGGAAACTTCATGTAATAGAGAAAATCATTCCTTCCCAGGAGTGGGCTCCTGAGCCCAGTGGCTGCTTGGCCCTCCTTTGGAAACTGGGTTTCCAAGCACTCTGGTGTTCACCATGGACACACCCCTGGGCCAAGCAGGGCATTTTCTGGTCTCTCTTTACAAGACCACACTTGTGCAATTATAATAGCAACAACTATTTATAAAACACTATGTGCCAGGAAGTTTTTGAATGGCTTTGCATCAAATGCCTAATTTAATCCTCAGAACACCACTGTGACTTGACTTCCATGATTAAGCATTGATATTGACCCCATTTTACAGAAGGGAGGCGTAGCTCACCCAGGATCCCACAGCATGGCAGAGTGGAAATAGGGTCTGACCTGTACTATCTGCCTCCAGGCTGGGTGTTCAGGAAGCTGGCTCAGAAGTGCCATTGTCATAACTAACCTTGTATGAGGCCCATGGTGTGCCAGGCATTTCGAAAACATCGGCTCAGTACTGGTAAGCAGCAGCCCCATAGGAGGGATTATCATCCACATCCTAGTGATGGGGGAGCTGAGGCTGAGTGAGGTTAAGTAATGTGCTCAAGGTCACAGAATAGTAATTAGGAGAAACAGGACTTCTGCCCCGTGGTGCAGGATGAGAAACAGGGCTCTCTGTAACACCAGATTATACCAGTTCTTCTCACTCCAGCCCCACTTCCTCCTCTACCTCCTCCAGGTAGGCCTGGGTTTGTAAATCTGTGGGGGATGTGGTGGCCATTGCATCTGGGCATGTTCTGAATCCCAGCTGCTGATGGCTGTGGTTCTGGTCTATCTGGACTGCAGTGCCCATGGCAGCAAGGCTCTGAGTGGACAGTGGCCTCGCAGATCCTCCTCTCCTCTCTGGTAAATTTGCTCTGATGCTCTAGGGCTGGGATTAGACAACGATCTCAAGATGTCCTCCCAATGCCAAGCATGGTGCGAGGTAGAGCTGCTCTGCCCCTTTTATTTCATCCAATCTTGACTTGGCACTGCTGAGCCTTAAGGGAGCACATGACATGGGCTAGTGCCTGGAAAGAAGATGGGATGGAGAATCTGCATGGTGCTGCACCTGCCCTAGTCATTTACCCCTTCCCTTTCTCCGGCAGGCATCTTTCCAACATCCCACAGACTCTGCTAGCATGCAAAGCCAACCAGGTCCAAATGCAAAGGACTGCTTCCCTGCACATGGTGCCTTCGTAGAAAGCACCCATCATTTCCATGTGTAACTTTCCTTTTCCCTTTCCGTCTTCATCTCCACAGGGCTGCATTGCCAGTGCCTGTTGTGTGAGATTAGGAGGTATTAGTGACTGCTCATTCAGGGGCAAACTCATAGAACATGCCTGGAAGGGGCAGTTAGGACCTCTTTAGATGATGTAATTAACCTCGTCACATTTCTGCTTGTAGAGTGGATAATGCTGTCAAATGCTGTCCAATCTTTCTGGTATTCAACATATTTTGATTAAAACAGAAAAGCCCAGCCTGGGCCGGGAGAGGATCAGTTGAGCCTGTCCTTTCTGATTTGCAAAGGAGTCTATCGTTACCTGGGTGTCTGTCCTTCTGAAACATCTGGGAGTGGTGATGTCTGCTGGGAGCACAGGGCCTGGCATGCAGTAGCCAGTGGGTACTCAGTGAGCATCTGATGCCTACACTACATGGTAGGGATGAAACCCTGGCAGGAGAACTGAGAAGACTCCCATCAAGTTAGAGAGATTTCACTCTCCTAAGGCAGGTTTTGGATTTTTCCAGTAGAGTGAAGCAGGGGAACAAAAATTGAGTCTTGTTCCCATTTGATGTGCTTTATGTGTTTGCCTGGAGGCCTTCGTAGACTGAGAAACAGCAGCAAATTCGACAAGGTCCTCCTGGGCCGGGGCTTCCGAGCTACATTTTCCTTCCTTGACAGGCAGCAGAGCTTTTTCACCCAACTTTTCTCCAACAGCAGCTTGGTTGCATGAACAGCATGAAGAAATAAAAGTATTTAACTTCACTGAAGACATTTTGAAAAATGACAACTTAAATCATTTCCAGAACTGTTTTTTGTTTAAAGGCTTGGCTGCTTCTCAGACTTCATAGCTGCTTTCTTCTCCTTCATCCTCCTCTAAATATTATTATTTCCTGGAGATGCTGTCTTTATTCCACACTCTTCCCAGCTATATCTGTCTGGTCTTCCATGATTAAGCACTGATATTGGCCCCATTTTGCAGAAGGGAGGCATAGCTCACCCAGGATCCCACAGCATGGCAGACTGGAAATAGGGTCTGACCTGTACTATCTGCCTCCAGGCTGGGTGTTCAGGAAGCTGGCTCAGAAGCTTTGAAGGCTTTTTGTATACTTTTTCTGTCTCAGAAGTTTCTCTAAAACACCTTGCTATGTTGTTTTTACTGCTGGGAATTCTTGGTTTTCTGTTGAGTGTAAGTTAAAATACAAATCATCAGCACAGCACACAGGTCAAACTTGTCTCCTTGCCCTGAAATTGTTTTGTTTTTTCCTCTTCCCATGCACTAGAAAGTGAGTTTTCCGAGGTCAGGAACTGTATCTTTTTGCTTATCACACTATCCTGGGGCGCTATAATGATGAGCAGAAAAGGGAAGCACAATGAATTATTTTTTGGGGGTGAATACCACATGGTTCCTGACAACCTAGCCCTGGAGTGGCATTTCATTCCCAGTGACACTTCATTCAATGCTGTCCCCACCTCTCAACCCCTGCTCTGGCCTACCTCTTACCTTGCTGAGCCACCTGTTCCTCACCTTGTCACTGCATGGCCCTGGTCCCCATCATGATTCCCACTGGAGTTTCTGCTTGTCTAGCAGGTGTGCCAGACACGGGTTCATCTCATGCCCCTGAGCTCTCACAGCTGCTCTGACACTTCCAGAGCCCCTCCAGGGCCAGTGCCAATGCTCCCTGTGTGTGCTCCTCAGAACCCCTTTTCTCGTCCATGTAGTTCTAGTCCCATTGATTCCAGCTTCATCTTTTATTTATCTCTTGAATTCCACAACAGAACATAGTGTCTTCCAACAGATCCCATGGACAACAGAACCTGACACCAAGATGCCCAAGAATTGTTAATTAATGAGTCTTGAGATGATAGACCATGTACAGAAATACATTTGGGGTGTGGATTTATTCTTTCCTCAATATCATCCCCCTAGTTTTAATTAGGACTAAATTTCTGCGTACAAGAGTGTCTGATGATTGCTGAATGCCTGTCTATCACTGCTGAGTGATGTTGTGTCCTTGGCTGTGGTAACCAACATTCCTCATTTGCCCAGGACTAAGGAATTTCCTGGGAGGTAGGACTTTCACTGCGAAAACTGGGAGAGTCCCATGGTCAGTTCATCCTCCTATCCTGAGCTATGACCAGTTGAGAAGTCTCTTTAGTAGGCAAAAAGCAAGTAAATTGGCAATTTCCTTTTACATGAAATCATGGCTGTTTTCTCCATTAGATTGTAATTTCTATGAAGACACATGATGAGAACTTCAAAGAAACAAAACAAGACAACAATATGACATGGGTCTCCAGTCCTTGCTGTATGTTAGAATCACCTGGAAGCTCTTAAAAATCCCAGTGCCCAGGTCCTACCCCATTCTACTTAAATCATAAGCCCAGGTGTGGGAGCCAGGCATCAGTCTATTTTAAAGTCTTCCAAGGATACCAATGTTCAGCAAAGTTGACAGGCATTATGGGGACTCCTAGAAGATATGAATGGATTTGTTGAGTGGACAGTAGGCTGGAGGTAGGCAAAGCTCTTCTGGAAATATTACAGGCTGGGAGAAAGGAGGGCCCAGGGGAGAGAGTGGACCCCAGGTTTTTGTAGCATTGGCCTTTGCCCACTGCTAATTCTGGGAACATCCCCACCTCCCTGATTTAGATGCCCACTTATTAGGGCAGAGGGCATGGTTGGTAGGCCAGAGGAGAAGGTGCCCAGCTGTAATTATACATTAGGTTGGAGAATTAGAGAGGAAGGTGGAGGTTTGTGCTGATATAGGACCCTTTCCCATTACACTGGGAAGTAATGCATTTTATTGTCAAATTTGCTGTTTGTTTTTATCCAGATAATGATTTCAGCTGCCAATACCACAGTTTGTTGTAGCTATAGGTAGCAAATGCATTTCTTTGCTAGCCTCTCACTGTGGTCTGCTTTCTGCCTCCCTGTGTCCCCAGAAAGCTTGGCTAGTGAGCAAGCCACACAAGGACTAGCAGACTTGAGATTCAGTGGACACAGCAGAGATTTGAGGACTATGCCAGAACATGGCTGTTAGCTTCATCCCTGCCTCACTTTACTCAGTTCAGAGAGCCAGTGCCCTTGCAGGCCAACCTCCTCTGCGTTGGCAGAGGATGTTGGGCACCTGGATCACCGGTAGCATTTGCTTGTTGACATAGAGGCTTGACAATCTGAGTTAGGGCTGCGGTCGCTGCGCTTGGTAGAGTCCTCCATTCTAAGGTGTGGCTTCCAAGCAGTGATCTCCCCTTCTGCTGCCTCCCCTCGGCTGCTGGCTATGTGGAGGTCTCAACACAGGCCACCCCAGTTCTTGCCACTTCCCTGGAGAGGTGACCTCAGCTCTGCCCCAGCCAGGACCCTGGCACTGTCTTGCGTGTGTTTCTATTTTTCTCCTAAGTGGAGAAGGTGGGAGAGTATTTCATATTTATTTAGTAACCTTTTATATTTTTCTCTGCTATCAATTGTCTGCTCTACGTTCTTTGTTGTGGAAAGCATGAAATTGATCTGAGCCTCACTTCTGTCCCTTATAAAAAGGGTTGTTTTTAGGATTAATTTTTATTTGACATTGCATAGGTGAAGTGCTTATTCCTGGGCCCATAACATCAAGAGCTGCTTGCTTATCTTTGTAGTCTTCTCTTGGAGCAGCAAAGGCCTTACACCAACCATTTCCTCCAGCAGGCAAGGGCATCGTAGTTAAGAACGTGGAGGTGTTGTGCCTAGGTTGGGACACAAACCCAAGTCTCTTCAGTGCATGGCTTCTAACTAGACCATCTGGCTAACTAATGAGACCACCAATGCTTTTTTGAGTATGTTTTTTTTTTCTGATCTCAGTTACATATATTTAAAAAAATTCATTAGGTTAAATCTGTTTTGATTGTTAAACTATTTGATTATATTATATATTCATGTGGTGCAAAAATTTGAACAAAACTATTATATAGTGAAAGTCCTGCTCCCCACCCACAAAGAGAGTGACTCTTTTGTGTTTAGTCCTCACTTCCACCCTGCCTGAAGAGATGCCTAATGTTGTTATTTTCTCATATACAGTTCTTTAAACCAAATAAATTGGAATAGATATTTCTCAACCCCCTTTTCAACAATATTCTTTTACAAAAAATTTAAAATTTTTAAATGATTTCAACTATTATTTTAGATTCGGGGGGTATAGGTGCAGGTTTCTTACATGGTTATATTGTGTGATGCTGAAGTTTGGGCTACGATGGATCTCATTACCTAGGTAGTGAGCATAGTACCCAATAGTTAGTTCTGCAACACTTGCCACTCTCCCCTCCCTTCCTCCTCTAGGAGTCCCCAGTGTCTATTGTTGCCATCTTTTTTTTAAATTTTATTTTATTATTATTATACTTTAAGATTTTAGGGTACATGTGCACAATGTGCAGGTTAGTTACATATGTATACATGTGCCATGCTGGTGTACTGCACCCATTAACTCATCATTTAGCATCACGTATATCTCCTAAAGCTATCCCTCCTCCCTCCCCCGACCCCACAACAGTCCCCACAGTGTGATGTTCCCCTTCCTGTGTCCATGTGTTCTCATTGTTCAATTCCCACCTATGAGTGAGAATATGTGGTGTTTGGTTTTTTGTTCTTGTGATAGTTTACTGAGAATGATGATTTCCACTTTCATCCATATCCCTACAAAGGACATGAACTCATCATTTTTTATGGCTGCATAGTATTCCATGGTGTATATGTGCCACATTTTCTTAATCCAGTCTATCATTGATGGACATTTGGGTTGGTTCCAAGTCTTTGCTATTGTGAATAGTGCCTCAATAAACATACGTCTGCATGTGTCTTTATAGCAGCATGATTTATAGTCCTTTGGGTATATACCCAGTAATGGGATGGCTGGGTCAAATGGTATTTCTAGTTCTAGATCCCTGAGGAATCGCCACACTGACTTCCACAATGGTTGAACTAGTTTACGGTCCCACCAACAGTGTAAAAGTGTTCCTATTTCTCCACATCCTCTCCAGCACCTGTTGTTTCCTGACTTTTTAATGATTGCCATTCTAACTGGTGTGAGATGGTATCTCATTGTGGTTTTGATTTGCATTTCTCTGATGGCCAGTGATGGTGAGCATTTTTTCATGTGTTTTTTGGCTGCATAAATGTCTTCTTTTCAGAAGTGTCTGTTCATGTCCTTTGCCCACTTTTTAATAGGGTTGTTTGTTTTCTTCTTGTAAATTTGTTTGAGTTCATTGTAGATTCTGGATATTAGCCCTTTGTCAGATGAGTAGGTTGCGAAAATTTTCTCCCATGTTGTAGGTTGCCTGTTCACTCTGATGGTAGTTTCTTTTGCTGTGCAGAAGCTCTTTAGTTTAATTAGATTCCATTTGTCAATTTTGGCTTTTGTTGCCATTGCTTTTGGTGTTTTAGACATGAAGTTCTTGCCCATGCCTATGTCCTGAATGGTAATGCCTAGGTTTTCTTCTAGGGTTTTTATGGTTTTAGGTCTAACATTTAAGTCTTTAATCCATCTTGAATTAATTTTTGTATAAGGTGTAAGGAAGGGATCCAGTTTCAGCCTTCTACATATGGCTAGCCAGTTTTCCCAGCACCATTTATTAAATAGGGAATCCTTTCCCCATTGCTTGTTTTTCTCAGGTTTGTCAAAGATCAGATAGTTGTAGATATGCGGCGTTATTTCTGAGGGCTCTGTTCTGTTCCATTGATCGCTATCTCTGTTTTGGTACCAGTACCATGCTGTTTTGGTGACTGTAGCCTTGTAGTATAGTTTGAAGTCAGATAGCGTGATGCCTACAGCTTTGTTCTTTTGGCTTAGGATTGACTTGGCGATGCGGGCTCTCTTTTGGTTCCATATGAACTTTGAAGTAGTCTTTTCCAAATCTGTGAAGAAAGTCATTGGTAGCTTGATGGGAATGGCATTGAATCTATAAATTACCTTGGGCAGTATGGCCATTTTCATGATATTGATTCTTCCTAGCCATGAGCATGGAATGTTCTTCCATTTCTTTGTATCCTCTTTCATTTCATTGAGCAGTGGTTTGTAGTTCTCCTTGAAGAGGTCCTTCACGTTCCTTGTAAGTTGGATTCCTAGGTATTTTATTCTCTTTGAAGCAATTGTAAATGAGAGTTCACTCATGATTTGGCTCTCTGTTTGCCTGTTATTGGTATTTAAGAATGCTTGTGATTTTTGTACATTGATTTTGTATCCTGAGACTTTGCTGAAGTTGCTTATCAGCTTAAGGAGATTTTGGGCTGAGACAATGGGGTTTTCTAGATATACAATCATGTCATCTGCAAACAGGGACAATTTGACTTCCTCTTTTCCTAATTGAATAACCTTTATTTCCTTCTCTTGCCTAATTGCCCTGGCCAGAACTTCCAACACTATGTTGAATAGGAGTGGTGAGAGGGGGCATCCCTGTCTTGTGCCAGTTTTCAAAGGGAATGCTTCCAGTTTTTGCCCATTCAGTATGATATTGGCTGTGGGCTTGTCATAGATAGCTCTTATTATTTTGAGATACATCCCATCAATACCTAATTTATTGAGAGTTTTTAGCATGAAGGGTTGTTGAATTTTGTCAAAGGCCTTTTCTGCATCTATTGAGATAATCATGTGGTTTTTGTCTTTGGTTCTGTTTATATGCTGGATTACATTTATTGATTTGTGTATATTGAACCAGCCTGGCATCCCAGGGATGAAGCCCACTTGATCATGGTGGATAAGGTTTTTGATGTGCTGCTGGATTCGGTTTGCCAGTATTTTATTGAGGATTTTTGCATCAATGTTCATCAAGGATATTGGTCTAAAATTGTCTTTTTTGGTTTTGTCTCTGCCCGGCTTTGGTATCAGGATGATGCTGGCCTCATAAAATGAGTTAGGGAGGATTCCCTCTTTTTCTATTGATTGGAATAGTTTCAGAAGGAATGGTACCAGTTCCTCCCTGTACCTGTGGTAGAATTCGGCTGTGAATCCTTCTGGTCCTGGACTCTTTTTGGTTGATAAGCTATTGATTATTGCCCCAATTTCAGAGCCTGCTATTGGTCTATTCAGAGATTCAACTTCTTCCTAGTTTAGTCTTGGGAGGGTGTATGTGTCGAGGAATTTATCCATTTCTTCTAGATTTTCTAGTTTATTTGCGTAGAGGTGTTTATAGTATTCTCTGATGGTAGTTTGTATTTCTGTGGGATCGGTGGTGATATCCCTTTTATCATTTTTTATTGCGTCTATTTGCTTCTTCTCTCTTTTCTTCTTTATTAGTCTTGCTAGCAGTCTATCAGTTTTGTTGATCCTTTCAAAAAACCAGCTCCTGGATTCATTAATTTTTTGAAGGGTTTTTTGTGTCTCTATTTCCTTCAGTTCTGCTCTGATTTTAGTTATTTCTTGCCTTCTGCTAGCTTTTGAATGTGTTTGCTCTTGCTTTTCTAGTTCTTTTAATTGTGACATTAGGGTGTCAATTTTGGATCTTTCCTGCTTTCTCTTGTGGGCATTTAGTGCTATAAATTTCCCTCTACACACTGCTTTGAATGTGTCCCAGAGATTCTCGTATGTTGTGTCTTTGTTCTTGTTGGTTTCAAAGAACATCTTTATTTCTGCCTTCATTTCGTTATGTACCCAGTAGTCATTCAGGAGCAGGTTGTTCAGTTTCCATGTAGTTGAGTGGTTTTGAGTGAGTTTCTTAATCCTGAGTTCTAGTTTGATTGCACTGTGGTCTGAGAGACAGTTTGTTATGATTTCTTATCTTTTACATTTGCTGAGGAGAGCTCTCCTTCCAACTATGTGGTCAATTTTGGAATAGGTGTGGTGTGGTGCTGAAAAGAATGTATATTCTGTTGATTTGGGGTGGAGAGTTCTGTAGATGTCTATTAGGTCCACTTGGTGCAGAGCTAAGTTCAATTCCTGGGTATCCTTGTTAACTTTCTGTCTCGTTGATCTGTCTAATGTTGACAGTGGGGTGTTAAAGTCTCCCACTGTTATTGTGTGGGAGTCTAAGTCTCTTTGTAGGTCACTCAGGACTTGCTTTATGAATCTGGGTACTCCTGTATTGGGTGCATATATATTTAGGATAGTTAGCTCTTCTTGTTGAATTGATCCCTTTACCATTATGTAATGGCCGCCTTTGTCTCTTTTGATATTTGCTGGTTTAAAGTCTGTTTATCAGAGACTAGGATTGCAACCCCTGCCTTTTTTTGTTTTCCATTTGCTTGGTAGATCTTCCTCTATCCTTTTATTTTGAGCCTATTTGTGTCTCTGCACATGAGATGGGTTTCCTGAATACAGCACACTGATGGGTCTTGACTCTTTATCCAATTTGCCAGTCTGTGTCTTTTAATTGGAGCATTTAGTCCATTTACATTTAAAGTTAATATTGTTATGTGTGAATTTGATCCTGTCATTATGATGTTAGCTGGTTATTTTGCTCGTTAGTTGATGCAGTTTCTTCCTAGCCTCGATGGTCTTTACAATTTGGCATGATTTTGCAGTGGCTGGTACCGGTTGTTCCTTTCCATGTTTAGTGCTTCCTTCAGGAGCTCTTTCAGGGCAGGCCTCGTGGTGACAAAATCTCTCAGCATTTGCTTGTCTGTAAAGTATTTTATTTCTCCTTCACTTATGAATCTTAGTTTGGCTGGATATGAAATTCTGGGTTGAAAATTCTTTTCCTTAAGAGTGTTGAATATTGGCCCCCACTCTCTTCTGGCTTGTAGAGTTTCTGCCGAGAGATCCGATGTTAGTCTGATGGGCTTCCCTTTGTGGGTAACCCGACCTTTCTCTCTGGCTGCCCTTAACATTTTTTCCTTCATTTCAACTTTGGTGAATCTGACAATTATGTGTGTTGGAGTTGCTCTTCTCGAGGAGTATCTTTGTGGCGTTCTCTGTATTTCCTGAATCTGAATGTTGGCCTGCCTTGCTAGGCTGGGGTTCTCCTGGATAATACCCTGCAGAGTGTTTTCCATCTTGGTTCCATTCTCCCCGTCACTTTCAGGTACACCAATCAGACGTAGATTTGGTCTTTTCACATAGTCCCATATTTCTTGGAGGCTTTGTTCGTTTCTTTTTATTCTTTTTTCTCTAAACTTCCCTTCTCACTTCATTTCATTCATTTCATCTTCCATCACTGATACCCTTTCTTCTAGTTGATCGCATCGGCTCCCGAGGCTTCTGCATTCTTCACGTAGTTCTCGAGCCTTGGCTTTCAGCTCCATCAGTTCCTTTAAGCACTTCTCTGTATTGGTTATTCTAGTTATACATTCGTCTAAGTTTTTTTCAAAGTTTTCAACTTCTTTGCCTTTGGTTTGAATTTCCTCCTGTAGCTAGGAGTAGTTTGATCGTCTGAAGCCTTCTTCTCTCAACTTGTCAAAGGCATTCTCCGTCCAGCTTTGTTCCGTTGCTCATGAGGAGCTGCATTCCTTTGGAGGAGGAGAGGTGCTCTGCTTTTTAGTTTCCAGTTTTTCTGCTCTTTTTTTTCCCCATCTTTGTGGTTTTATCTACTTTTCGTCTTTGATGATGGTGATGTATAGATGGGTTTTTGGTGTGGATGTCCTTTCTGTTTGTTAGTTTTCCTTCTAACAGACAGGACCCTCAGCTGCCAGTGTGTTGGAGTTTGCTAGAGGTCCACTCCAGACCCTGTTTGCCTGGGTACCAGCAGCGGTGGCTGCAGAACAGCAGATTTTCGTGAACCGCGAATGCTGCTGTCCGATCGTTCCTCTGGAAGTTTTGTTTCAGAGGAGTACCCGGCCGTGTGAGGTGTCAGTCTGCCCCTACTGGGGGGTGCCTCTCAGTTAGGCTGCTCAGGGGTCAGGGGTTAGGGTCCCACTTGAGGAGGCAGTCTGCCCGTTCTCAGATCTCCAGCTGCATGCTGGGAGAACCACTGCTCTCTTCAAAGCTGTCAGACAGGGACATTTAAGTCTGCAGAGGTTACTGCCGTGTTTTTGTTTGTCTGTGCCCTGCCCCCAGAGGTGGAGCCTACAGAGGCAGGCAGGCCTCCTTGAGCTGTGGTGGGCTCCACCCAGTTGGAGCTTCCCTGCTGCTTTGTTTACCTAAGCAAGCCTGGGCAATGGCAGGCGCCCCTCCCCCAGCCTCACTGCCGCCTTGCAGTTTGATCTCAGACTGCTTTGTTAGCAATCAGCGAGACTCCGTGGGTGTAGGACCCTCCGAGCCAGGTGCAGGATATAATCTCCTGGTGTGCCATTTTTTAAGCCCGTTGGAAAAGCACAGTATTGGGGTGGGTGTGACCCGATTTCCCAGGTGCCGTCTGTTACCCCTTTCTTTGACTCGGAAAGGGAACTCCCTGACCCCTTGCACTTCCGAGTGAGGCAATGCCTCGCCCTGCTTCGGCTCGCACATGGTGTGCTGCACCCACTGTCCTGCACCCACTGTCTGGCACTCCCTAGTGAGATGAACCCGGTACCCCAGATGGAAATGCAGAAATCACCCGTCTTCTGTGTCGCTCACGCTGGGAGCTGTAGACCGGAGCTGTTCCTATTCAGCCATCTTGGCTCCAGCTCCTGCCATCTTTATATTCATGTGTACCCCACATTTATCTCCCACTTATGAGTGAGAACATGCAGTATTTGGTCTTCTGTTCTGGTATTAATTTGCTTAGGATAATGGCCTCCAGCTGCACCCATGTTGCTGCAAAGGACATGATTTTATTCCCTTTTTATGGCTGCATAATATTCCATGGCCTCTTCACCATTTTTCTTGCAGTTATTTTCATATTAGTTCAGAAAGAACTTCTTGATTCTTTTTTTTACAGGTACATTACTATAGTCTTTTTGTTTGTTTACAAGTACAATACTTTCCTTTGAGTGAATAGAGCATGATTTATTTTACCAACACCCAATTGATGGACATTTAAGCTATTTCCAATCTTCTGAAAAGAGTATTGAATAAATGACTTTGACCATATATTAATTCACAAGTGTGTGAGAATAACTTTAAGAAAAATACCTAAAAATATAATTACTGGTTACAAGGATTTGTATATGTGTGTTTGTGACTTTGCTAAATATTGCCAAGTTGCCTCCACAGATGTTGGGTCAATTTCTATATCTGTCAACAATGCATTGGGGTTCCAATTTCCTTATAGCCTTGTTACTGCAGTGCTTTACCAAACTGGGATTTTTGCCAACCTGTTAGGTGAAAAATGGTAACACAGAATAATTGAAAAATGTATTTTTCTTTATCCTGTATGAGGCTGTGTATCTTTTCAAATGTTTTAGAGGCATTTGTTTTCCTTTTCTGTTAATGGCTAGTCTTATAATTTTTCCAGATTAAAAACTGAATTGTTGATCTGTGCCTTTCTTGTTTATTTATAGGAGTTTTATACATCAAAGAGATTACCCTTTGCATTGGACATTGCCAATATTTTCATCAGAATATTGTTTGTCTTTTGGATTTTCTTTTTGTTATTATCATTTTTTTTTTACCACTTGGAAGGTTTTCACGTAGTCCAATTACTATTTTCTTCTTTTATGCTCTCTACATTTTAAATAATTTTTCAATGTTACCTTCTAGAAATTTTATAGTTTCAATTTGATGTGTTTAAATCCTTGATTTTTTGGAATTCATCCTGGTGTATTGTGTGTTGTGTGAAAAATGGATTCCACTTAATATTTTTCCAGATGGTCATCCAGTTATTCCAACACCATTTATTGAATACTTCATATTTTCCACACTTCCTTAGGGGTTGGTCATGGAAAAAACATTCTCAGCTTTCATTTCCTTTTAATCGATTTTAGCTCGGGATTTCCTGGGAAGGTGAGAAAACTTTCCACCAAAGTCTCTGGGGTTTGCATTTCCTGTTCTGTTTGGGGATTACTATGCATCTCTTAACTCTGTGATTTTGCTTTCCAAGCTTTTGTGGTTTGCATCCCTTGTCAACAGGATTTTTTTCTGCAAACAGCAATGTAAAGGCTCAATGTGTCTAATGTGCCTGTGTAGTCACTATAGCTGTGGCACCAGCCATAGCCTTTTGTGAGCAGAGAGCTCTCAACAAACATCTCATGCTTTTCAACTTCTGCCAAATGATTCTGCATCAGGACGGGATGGGTGCAGCAGCCAAAAGAAATATCAAAGGTGGAATAGGAGCCACATTTGGGAAGTGTGTGCATGAAGTCAGAGGAAATTGCCAGCTGTCAAGCATATGAAAAGACAAAAAGACAACTGAAGAAATGCCCACCGCTTTCCCTTGAATTCCTCCTTGCCCCTTTTCCATCTCCCTGACCCAGTGACTCTTGCCCATGGAATGATTAACAACAGGCCCAAAACTTCAGCAAAATGAAAATGACTCAGAACTTTCAGGTCGTATTTGTCTATCTATTCATTTAACAAAGTTCTTTTTCCCATCATAAAAATAAGCATGCTGCTTGTATATTAGATATGCTATTTAAATTATTTGAATTTTTAATGAATATGATTCAGTAAAGAACTTGAGTCAGCTAACACACCCAAAAATGGATCAGAAAAAAATAACTGGTGGAATTGCAGCCTGGGTAATGGAGGACAAGAAATTAATAAAGTTGGGGATAGGATTGGGGGTGATGGTGTGGGAGGAGGATAGGCTCATAGAAGTGTAACTTATATGAGTTTATACAATTGCTACATTTCGCCAACTTGGCTCTACATTTCCTAGCGGTCAAAGTAAAAAGGGAAATATTAGCTACAACTTTCATAAGACAAATAGC
Source organism: Homo sapiens (assembly GCF_000001405.40). Taxonomy (NCBI): domain Eukaryota; kingdom Metazoa; phylum Chordata; class Mammalia; order Primates; family Hominidae; genus Homo; species Homo sapiens. Next base: position 85,767,154 of record NC_000010.11, on the reverse strand, counting down.
TGTGCCTGAGTGGCCCAGCTTCTCCTGATCTCGAGTTCTGGGAATAACTCTGCCAAATGCGCTAATGTTCATTCCCAAGAAATTATAAACCTTATTGGAATTTGACAATGACAGACGTGGATTTGACTACAGGAAACAAGAGGGGCATGGATATATTCTTGGCATATACAGAGGAAGGCTCTTCCCCTCTAGTTACACACAGGCAGGGCAGATCCAGGCTTTCTAAGACTTGAAGTGTATGCAGTTTCAAAGGTTTTACTTTAAGGAAAAGAATATGAAATTGTGAATGTAAAATCAGGTATGAAAGTGAATATTTAATGAGAAAAAATTATAATAAAATATACTAAAAAACATGAAAAACCTGACAGATACAACAAAATCATACACACACACACACACACACACACACACACACACACACACAATCATCTGCCTTTCACACAGTTCCATAATAATTTCTCCCCTGTCATTTTTGGCTACTCTTTGATCCTCTCCTCATATGATAATCCTTTTGAATTTAATGTCCCATAGAGAGAAGAGCAAGATTATTTCATCTTTCCTCTGGTATGGTTGATTGAAAGTTTTTTATTAGTAGTTGTTTAGAAAAGTTTTGTTTGGTTTCTTATCATTGGTAATGTGTTGTAAATTTAAAACTATTGTCATTTTTTTTTAGACAAATCTCGCTCTGTTTCCCAGAGTGGAGTGCAGTGGGGTGAGCACAGCTCAATGCAGCCTCAACCTCCTGGGTTCAATTGATCCTCCCACTTCAGCCTCCTAAGTAACTGTGACAACAGGCACATGCCACCCCACCAGGCTAATTTTTAAATTTTCTATAGAAATGGGGTTTCACCACATTGCCCAAGCTGGTCTCGAACTCTTGGGCTTATGCAGTCCTCACGCCTCAGTCTCTCAAAGTGCTGGGATTATAGGCGTGAGCCACTGTGCCCAGTCCCTATTGTCAAATTTAAGGAAACCCTTCCAAGTTTCTTTTGTGAGGTGGAAGATTTGGAAGATTTTTCCATGGCTGGCTTCTTACTTGGTTTATTTCAAACCTTGTTTCTCCTCTACCACCACATACTTGTGATGCCAGGGCTGCAGCACATGTACTGCCACGACACAACCTCACCTGTGCACCTCTGTGGTATGAGACCAGTTGAGTCAGCATGACAGCAGTTAAAATCGTCCCCCTCTGGCAGCCAGCAATATGTTTTCTATGCATGGAAGTGAAACTAGACCATGGGAAAGTATCCCACTAAACTCAGACCCAAAACTTAGCTTCCTAAAATTTCTGACAGTGGATCCTACAGCAGTAGATACAAGAAAAAGTGTGGCTAACAGGAAGTTGGGTGGAACAGTGGTCTGAATTGATTCCAGTTAAGTTCAGATTGAGTGTTCTTTATCCGAAATGCTTGGGACCAGAAGTGTTTTGGATTTCTGATTTTTTCTGATTTGGGAATATTTGCATATAAATAATGTGATATCTTGGGGATGGGACCTAAGTCTAAACATGAGATTCATTTATGTTTCACATACACCTTATATGCATGGCCTGAAGGTAATTTTATAGAATATCATAAATAATTTTCTGCATGAAACAAAATTTTGACTGCATTTTGACAGCAATGTGTTACATGAGGTCAGGTATAGAATTTTCCATTTGTGTCATGTCAATGCTCAAAATGTTTCACATTTTGGAGCATTTTGGATTTTGCATTTTCAGATTAGAGGTGCTCAACTTGTATCCTACTTTTTCAAATATTACTAAACTGGAGACACATGGGAACACATTGCTAGGACCTTCCCTGATAATCAGCATTGCCAGAGCAACAGGAGGGTCTTGAGGCCTAAGCCAGCCCGTGCAGCTAAATCTCCCTCTGGATGCAGAGCTTTCTAAGGGTAATCATGATCACTTACACATGGAATTCAGAAGCAAATACCATGTCCTAGTTGACCCATTTTCTTGCTGTGTGACCATGGACTAGTTATTCAACTTCTATGAGCCTCAGTTTCATCTGCTTGAAAATTGAGATAATACAACATAATACAAAATTATGGGGTTGTTTTGAGGATTAAATGGGATATATTCATACATCAGTTACTCTTTTCAGCACCTGCAACCATCCTAAATTCTAAATAAATATCAGGTATAAAGATGTACTGGAATCCTCAAAGAAACCATCTAACCACTTGCTTTGTCCTCTTTGGGGCAAAGAAAAATCCCTGCTGCATTTCTGTTATATAGTCTGATGACCCTTTCTATTTTCAGACAAGTGGAATTTTAAATTAAGTAACCCTGAGTTTTGTTTTCAATTTTCCCATTCTCTTTTCCTTGAATTGTGTATGGGCCTGTACTATGGCTGACATGCATGCAATGTTAAACACAATGCAAGCTATGTGCAGAGTAAACTGTAGCTTCACAAACAGCTGTTTTTTGAGAGTGACATGAAGGTACTAACTTAGTGGAGAGGAAGATAAACTTGAAGTCATGGGTTTACTAACTTAGACTCAGAAATAAAGCCCACATGTGTTTGTGAGGCTTTCGGATAACTTTAGAACATGTGCCTGTGTCTAACCATCATTTCCTGGGCCCTGTATTGTGCTGGACCCCTGCAGGGCACGGGGTTCACCTGCAGCAGCCCAGGTGGCTGACTTTCCCCACATCAAGATGACTGGTTCTTAAAGGGACCAGGGGAACCTTGTCCATTCTGGGCTTACTCTCTCTGCCCACTTTGGGCTTCACTGAGGACTTGTGAATGCTACCAAAAAGTGCTATGCGGGGCCATTTGAAGGCTCTGAATTTATCCTGAGGCCCTGTGGTGAGTTCATTTGCCAGATGTGCCCCTACTTAAAATTCCACTCCTCGGGGGGATTCTGTGCTGCCCTTTGAGAACCATCACTTTGCAGGGAAGTCAGTGCTTGGCAGCCTAGAATGAAACTGGATCCCTCTGATTATTGAACACAGTTGCCCCTTGGCCTGGGAAGGATTTACTGAGCATTTTGGTCACCTCCTGTCACTCTTCATGGAAAGACTCACCACTTCAGGGGCTCATCATCCTGTTCCTGAACAAACTGGAGTTTTACAGGCAGAAAACGCATCTCTTTGGCTTTTATTAAGAACTAATATTGAAAAATCCAGCAGTCTCCAGAGGGCTCCTTCTCTGTGGCCTCATCTGTAATTTATCTATTATTTAATCTTTAAATGGAGTCTCTCAGAGACTTTGCTGGATTTTTTTCATCTGCCTCCCCACACAGAGATGAAATTATTTCCCAAGTGCCTTAGATCATGAATTGGTACCTTTTGGAAAGGAAAAGATAATACTGTTTATGTGCGAGTAGAAGAGAATTACTTCACTTGTCTGTAGTAACACTGATTAAACTGAAATGTCAGAGCTAATGTTACAGTTAATAAATGTTATACATACTCAAATCTGTCTACTGATGATTCTAACAAATGCAGAGGACACTGCTTAAAAATAGGAGGGATACCTGCATCACCATGTGAGTGCCATTTGTGCTGTCCATTTCCAGTGAGTAAGGTAAAAATGTGCATTACAAATGAGACCCATGTTGGTGATGTCTGCAGGTCATGTTTTGTCACTTGAAGTTTTCCTAACCAGATAAATTGTCACAGTTATGAGAAATCAACATAGGATTTGGAAAACATTTCCTGAGATAAGTTGCATTATGTAAATCAGAAGGTAGTGGGATAGAGTATGATGAGAAAATGGAGTGTCAGACATCAGTGTGCCAGGGGCTTTGGTGAGAGGAAGAACAAAAGGGTCCCCCTACAGCCTGCCCTCTCACAGCCTCACAAAAGTTGATGGTATTGCTTGCTCTTCCTCGTAAGAGAAAATGTATCTGGGACCTGTTATCTCAGTGGGCATCCTTGGGCAGATGGGTGTGCCTTCCTTTATTCCAAGATGTAAAATACAGAGAGCACAAGTAGGAAAATTAAGAAAATGAGATGAGGACTGCAAGGTGGGCAGCTGACTTGGGGTCACTGGCAAAAAGACCAAGACTCTAGTCCTCCATGCCCATTCTCCCAGAAATGAAGTCTCAGTTTCTGGAGAAGGACGTCACTCTTGCTCTGACCACAGGAGGACTTTGCCTGTTTGCTGTCCACCCCTCCATTATCCCTGGATGCTGTGCTCTGCTGCAGTTTCCCAGTTGCCAGAAATAGTGTGGGGTTTGTAGTCTTATACACATAGTTGCAAATCCTAGCTGTGACTTTGGACTAGGTTTTAACCCTGAGGCTACTCAGGGGCCTCCTGTCTGTCTCCTAGGATGATTCTGCTAAATCAGTGAGCAAATGTGTATCAGGCACCTGACAAGTCACCTGGCTCACAACAGGCACTCACTTCTTCCCACGCTCCAAACTGAGTTGATCACTTGTGCATTGTTACGACTTCAAGACAGGGGGACTTTCTTCTCTTCCCCATTGCCCTCTCTCTTCCTGGTTTCTCATGTCTGTGAAAGCCTCTGTCGCTTTTTTGGTCAGCAGGTAGGGATAGGGAGCTGGCAGCCTTTTGCCCTCTCTCTGGCACACGCAGCAGTCTAGGGCTTATCTGAAAGGAGAAAGCTGATTGAGGCACAGTTCCCACATTGGGGCAGACTGGGGAGCAACTCACAAATTCAAGGTCCACAGTAGAATGTCTGGGACATCCCAGCTGGCACCCCCAGACAGGAAGCTCTACACCCTAGGAGAATTCTAATTCAGTTGGATTTACCATCAAATGACTGTAACAAAGAAAGAATATATTAAAATGTTCATTGGGGATCTTGGTTATTATAAATTACATTATTTGAAATCTCATTTAGATCCAGAAATTTCCAGACTGGGTTTGGAAGCTCTGAGGATTAGTCCTTTTGGAACAATGGAGTGTCAGTGATCATTTGGAAAAGTAATTATGTCAAATTTAATTATCATGCATATGCATTTCATCGACATCACTGTGCACACCCAGGAGACAGTGGGGAAAGGACTGCTCCAGCATGAGCCCTTGATAGAGGAATGCGGTGCAAAATTGTACATGTTGTAATTGAGTGTCACTTAATCTGAAGCATGATGGATACAGCGACTGTGGGTGGAGCAAATGGGAGGAAGTATTTGGCCCACTCAGCAGATGTTTGAGATATTTGGGAAGGCTTTTCAATGTTTTCAACATATTGGAGAGGAGCAAACTACATTTCAAGTAGGCTGATAACAATGTTTCCCTGTCTTAAGCATTTCTTTTGTTTTCTGTTCCTGTGGTAGCTTCACAATTCTGAATTGCAGAATGGTTTGGAATAATCCAGTAAACCGCCAAATGAGACTTTGAAAGTGTGTGTGTGTTTTGGGGGGTGTGGGGGGAGCATGGCATAGGGACTGTCTGGCAGACAGAGGGGCCACCATGGCAATTTGCACCCTAAAGTGTTCAGAGTGTGTTCTGTTGGATGCTGACCAACTGGGGACCCATAGTGGTTTTATCTGTCTCCTGGCCTCTATCCCAGCTTCCTCCCTTAAGCTGGCTAGCACCGTTTAGAACTCCTTGTCATTGCCTCTTCTTTAGGGGCCTCCCCTGATGATGCTGGGTTAGGTTGGCTGCCCTGCACTTACTTGCACAGCACAACGGTGTAATTGCTAATTTGTATGCCTGTTACCTCTGCACACCGTGGGCACTGTGAGAGCAGTGACCTTGTCCTTGGCTTAGCATTGGCTCTCTAGTCCCCAATGCAGCACCTGCATAGAAAGGGCTCAGTAAATACTTGTTTGAATGGGTGATCAGAAACTGGAAAGAACTCCAGGAGTCAATTTCTCCTCTCTACACATCCCTAATTGTGCTGAAGCCCAAACAAGCTGTTTCTAAAGCTGCTATCTTTGGTTTGGGGACGTGAGATAAAACCATTAGTGTTTAACACATGACACTTGATATATGACCAGGAGCTAACTGGTTAGCTTCTTTGGAGCTCATTGAGAATTGTAAAACTGGAGGCAGGCACTGTTGAGTGGAAAAATTGAAATAGTGCATGGCAAGTGCTTCCTTCTTCCTGGGATACCCGTAAAAAGTTACTTTTTAATTTGCTCAGCTGAGCTCAGAGCCTTTTTGTTTTTTGAAGAGCTGGCCAAGAATTCATCAAGGACTGAAAAACCAAAGGCTTTAACTTCAGGTTAGAGGTGCTGTTATTGGGTTCTCAGTGCATGGTGCTGAAGCCACAGCTCATGGGTGTGAGTGCAGATTTGTCCACTTTGACGAAATGCCTTCTGACCTGTGTTATCATCTGAGAATCTTGGTGCTTTGGGTAAAGTTTGATGGCCCTGCTGATGCTCTGGCAACAACATTTTACCAAAGCCAGGGAACCTCAAATTGCTGCAGTAGAGCAGAATGGCTACTGAACAGGAAATCCAGGCATAATTCTCACTTTCTGGAGCCCTTAGGGAAGATAAAACAGGAAAATTGAGGAAATTGTGCTTGAGACACTATAGAACGTGTTGCAAATGTATACTTATTGTTGACATTGTTGACTTCTGTCTCACTAGCCAATACTGTGTGTGTGTGACCAGTCTCATATGTTTTTCCAAGACACTGAAAGGCTTGATGATTAAAGGATGCAGGGCTCTTTGTGACTTCTGTTGAGTTGTTATAGTTTACCTGGCAGAAAATGAATGGTGGAAACCCAAAATGGGCAAAAAGAAGGAGCTAAATTGTTTTGAAACTGGCTTGTGTGCCAGGGGGAGTGACAGACACATTATCTTATCTACTTTAATCTAATTTTCCCAACAACCTAGAAAGTAGGCAGTAGCACTATTTCCACTTACAGTGAGTTGCACAAATCAGGCCAATGACAATAATAATAACACCTAAAATCTACTGAGTTCTTGCCATATGTCAGGCATCTAATAAAGCTGAACAATATAAAATTGCCATTTATATAGGTCAAAAACAACTGATGGTCAGCACTTTTCATGTATCTTATTCGTGCCTAAACAAACTTAAGTCAGCAGGGCTGTCTGACTGCAAGTTTCCTGTTATGACACCACCTCTCACTGAGGTAAAATAGGGTGCTACTAACAAAAATGGATGTCAGAATGCTGTCTTATATATTCATAATAACACAACTGTTACCATCAAGAGCCCCACTGAGAAGACTTAGGCCTGGAGACTTGAGAATGTAATGGTGATATGGGGCGAGAGAGAGCAAGTCCCCAGGCACCACACTTTGGGGATTCTCTTTCTTGCATTTATTCTTTACCTGGCATGGCAGGATGCCCTCAGAGGTGGAAGATACTTTTGCTGTATTAGGTTTAAAATGTCATCACTAATTAGCTAGGATTTCAGGTTGGGTCAATGCAGTATCAAGCCTGGGGACTTAACTTTATAGACATAGAATTGAAGGGAAAAATACATTTTCCGAACTCATTTTAAAAATAGTTTCCCTTGGAAATTAAAACCATTAAATGTACATAATTATGCAGATCAGTATTCATGCTTTAAAGAAACATGATTTCGCCTTCACTTAATTTGTTTCTCCAAGACCTAATTATGGATTAGATATAAAAAAATATTATTTTCCAATCACTGTGCAAATCGCCTTTTACCACCCAGGAGGACAGTTCTCTCTGATTAGTGAGAGTTGTTTCCATGCACTGATCAGTCAAGGAAAAGTCAGAGAGATATATTCCAAGAGGGAGTTGGTTGTTCATAAAGTCAAAAGAAGACAACAAGTGTGATCCTTTTCAGTAAGACAGAGTGGTGGGGATCAGCTTGAGTGGGGCTCCAGGTCTTTTCCCAAGAGCAGCTGCATTCAGCACCTGACCAGACTCTAGGGTTTTAAGGGTGCAGCTGCCCAAGGACTGGTCCAGAATCCAACAGTAAATGTCTATGGTCCATCATACTGGGATGCCTGGAAAGGAGCACCAGGGTTGCAGGGAGAGGGAAAGGCCCTCAGTGACCTCAAGGGGCAGCCAGGAACAAGGTGGAAGACAACACCTCTGTAGTCATCACTTTGCTTCATGGGAAGTGTTGATGCCAGGGACTTGATTCATGACCAAGACTCAGAGACTGGAGTTGGCTCTGATTAGGATTATAATAATGGCAGGGATCTCCATCATGTTTACTATGTCCTAGGCATGGTTTTAAACACTTTACAAACATCAGCTTATTTAATCCTCACAACAATTCTACAAGGCAAGTGCTATTATTATCTCTGTTTTATATTAATAGATGAAGAATTCGAACCACACAGGGGTTAAGCAGCTTGTCCTCTAGTGAGCAGTGAGAATGGAGCAGCTTGTCTGGAGTCTGTTCCACCAGCTTATAGTGGGAGGCTCTCCACTGTGCTGCCTTTCAGTACTAGCAGGTCACTCACAACTTGACAAGTGCCATAGATGCTCTAGTACATTTAATCCTATCCATAGCCCTATGAGGAAGATAGGCTGTGGTGAGCTACTATTCTGATGGTCCCCATCAAATCATACCTCCCAGTACCCACGCACTTTTGCAGTACCCTACCCTTGAATTTGGGCAGGGCTATACCTGCTTTAATCCACAGGATATGGTAGAACTGATGGTGAGACACTATGAGACAGTGCTTATGATCCCTGGCAGTCTGCACTTTGCCCTCTGGAGAAACCCAGATGCCATGTAAAAAGTTTGAAAACCCTGAAGCTACCAGGCTCAACAATGAGGAGAAGCTATGTGGAGGAAAACTGAGGCCTCAACAATTACCCTCTGATGAGCTCCTAAACCACAGCCCCACCAACTTGCCAGCCATGTGAGTGAAGTCAACTTGGAAAGAAATTGCCCACCCCTAGTGGTTTTCCCTGGCTGATGGCACATGGAGCAGAGATGAGCTGTTGTCAAACTCTGTCCAAACTGCAAAAGAGTGAGCAAATAAATAAAACAAGTGAAAGTGATTGTTGTTGTAAGCTACTAAGTTTTGCAATTATTTGATAATGCAGCAAAAGATAATTAAAATGGTTATAGATTTCACTTTACAGATGAAAAATCTGAAGTTCAAAGAGGCCATAAAACTTTCCTCAAATGCTATAGCTAGATAGTAACAGATGCAGAAATGGAATCAAGGAGTGGGAGTGCAGAGGAGCACTCTAACCACCATGCTCTACTCCCTCTGTTGGTGTATCTGCAAGGACTGCCTCAATGTCCAAGGAAGGTCAGCCTGTGTGAGGCTGTGCCAGGAGTGTTACGATATAAAATTCCTGGCCCCTGCCTACCTGGCCTTTCTGTTCTGGTTGGAGCTTACACTTCCCTTAGAATACTTGCCAGTGTAGCAGCATGCTGCAATATTTACTGAACTCCAAGAATGTACCAGACCCTTTTTAGTTGGCTTATCATTGAATCTTATAGCAGGTAGGAATGACTGTCCCCACCTTGGAGTTGCAAAAGCAGGCTTGGAGATTTCAGTAAGATCCTTAGGTTCACACAGTGTGTTTGGATGGAGCTAGAATTTGACCTGGTTCAGCTCAACCACCATACATAGTACATGGACCAACTTCAGCTCCTGTTCCTCGTCTTTAGTGTCCCCCAGTAGGCTCTGTCACATTATTCAGGATGCTGCTGAACTCTGCTCAAAGTGAGCTTCTTCCCACTTTCCCTTAACAACAATGTCAGTCACAATCCTGTGGATGCTTTGAATGTTTGTAAGACCACCCAGATTTGGTGGTCTCTTATTGCCTCCCTGATCAGAGATCATTATGTCTGTTTTCTTGTGCATGCCAACTCCCAGAATGGACAGATGGGAGAATTTTCTGCCCTCACTCCACCCATGTGCAGATTGGGCATCAGATCCTCTCAGCATCCTGAAGACAGTTCTCACAACAGCAGCAGCAGTAGCCATATAAGCATTCGGCTTGGGTTGGGCCATAGGGAAAACTTTCCTTCTCATCCACAGATAATGACCAGGAAGGTGTTCCTCAGTGAGAGGCTTGTTCTTCCAAGCGAGATTAGGTAGTAGAACCTTGAAGGGGAGTTGAAGGCATTGAGGCTGTGCCTGAGCTCAGTAGAGGAGCATCTGCTGAGTGGGTGAACCCTGCCGCCCCAAGTTTGCCCCCTGTTGGCTTGGTTTGCTTACCATGCCTTAGATCCTATGCTTAACTCAGGTACATTTTAGAAGGTAGATCCTTGGAGGGGCTATACAAAAGCAGCTGACAGACTATGAGAACATTTTCATCCAAAAGGCGGTCATTAATCCTTAAGCTATAAAACTACACTTTGCCTCAGTCTCCGCATTGTACAGGGAATCAGTAATGGTGCCTACCTCATTAGGTTGTCTTGAGGATTAGAGGAGTTTATATTGGTACAGTGCTCAGAGCAATACCTGGCATAACCTATAAAACTGTTAGCTCAGTGTAAGTGACAAATGGACAGAGGGCCAAATGCCTGTGTCTATACAGTAGTATTCCCTTATTTGCGGTTTCAGTTTTCATGGTTTCAGTTACCCACAGTCAACCAATCAACTATGGCCCCAAAATATTAAATGGTAAATTCCAGAAATAAACAATTTGTAAGTTTTAGACTGCAGTGCTGTTTTAAGTAACGTGATGAAGTCTCACTCCATCTGGCTCCATCCTACCTAGGACATGAATCATCCCTTTGTCCAGCGTATTCACACTGTAGATAATGCCTACCAGTCGGTCACTTTGTACCTGTCTTGGTTATCAGATTGTCTGTCTTAGGATTTCAATGCTTGTGTTCAAGTAACCCTTATTTGACTTAATAATGGTCCCAAAGTACAAGATTAGTGCTGCTGGCAATTCAGATATGCCACAGAGAGGCCATAAAGTGCTTCCTTTAAGTGAAAAGGTGAAAGCTCTAGACATAATAAGGAAAGAAAAAAGTTGTATGCTGAGGTTGCTAAGATCTACGGCGAGAACGAATCTTCTATCCATGAAATTGTGAAGAAGGAAAAAGAAATTTATTCTTCACAGCTCAAACTGCAAATTTACGGCCACAGTGCATGATAAGTGCTTAGTTAAGATGAAAAGGGGATTAAATTTATGGGAGAAGAACATGAACAGAAACGTGTTCCAGTTGATGGCAATTGGGTTCGGTACTATTTGTGGTTTCAGGCTCCCACTAGGGGGGGTATTGGAACATAATGTATCCCCCTCAGATAAGGGAGGACTATTGCATGTGGGTGGGGGTTGAAGGAGAATGGGTGCTGAGGGTAGGAGAGAGATGACCACAGTGAGAGAAGGTTCCTGAGCTGTTACCAGTGGCGTCCAGCGCATGGCAGGGTCTCAACATGTCTTTGGCCTGTGGGAAGGGCTCTGATAGGTATGAGTCCCACCTCCTTGTTTTAGGGATGAGATGAGGGAAGTTCAGGGGTCAGGGGAGAGGCCTGTGTAATTCAAGTTTGTTCCAGACCTTTTCCATCTAGGTCACCAGGAAATGGGGTTCTTGGGCAAGGGTGTCAGGGCCCCAACACGTGTGCTTATGGCCCCAGCAGAGTGCCCAGGGGTGCCCGAGCGGAAGTGCCACTTCAAGGGCTGAGAAGTGAGAGTGGTACCAGCTGCCTCAGGTTTTCTCACGCTCTCACGCCAGCAGAGCATGAGCGCCCTCCTTGGCAATGTGAATTTGATGCTCTTACCTTTCAGAAGAGTCCTTTGCTTTACTCTGGGAATCCTGGCACTCCTGCGACTTGCTTTGACCACTAGCATGTGGCAGAAGTGACGTTGCAGAAGTTCTGGAGCCTCAAGAGACCACGCAGCTTCTGTTTTGTTCCCTTGGACGCCATCCTGAACTGGGCAGGCGCTGAAGAACCAAGGACGGAAACCACGTGGAGAGAAAGGCCAAGTCATCTCAGCCGGCTCAGCTGAACCCAGGACCTATTGATCTTCCAGCTGAATGAAATCCCAGGAGCAGGCTCCATTAGCTCATTGAACTGTTAGAAATAATACATTGTGGCTGCTTGAAGCCATTAGGTTTGGGGGTGGTTTGTTTTGCTTCAATAGGTAACTGAAATGCTTGCGCAAGTTTGACCAGGCCTGGAGTCCTAGGACCCTTTCTAGCAGCCCCTCTACTAGCCTATGAAAAAGGGCCGGCCAAAACAGGCTTCATAAGGAATAGTGGGGGGAACTAGGGAGAAGAAAAGACTAAAAACCCACAGGCTCATGATCGGGCTGCTTCATATTCCAAGAGGGCCATCCTGTACCAGAAAGACTAGGCTGATTCAAAAGCATCCCAAGCTCTTTAAGAAAAATTGTAACAATGATAAAAATAAATTTAGTACCTCCAATATGCCAGTCATTTTATATGCAGCCTACTCTTAATCCTATAAATAACTTTTTAAGGTAGGTAGGCATTAATTCCATTATTTTGTGGGTGAAGAAATAGAATCAAAGAGTTTCCTGCCCAAGGTCACACAGTCTGCAAGGGGAGGAACTAGAATTTGAACCAAAGTTTGACCCCCAAACCCAGCCTCTATTTATTATGCCTTGTTGTCTTTCTCTTGGCCCACTGGATGTAAGTCAAGGAAATGAGAAGTTTTTGGGGAAAAGAGTATCTCTGAGCATAGTATGCTCTCTTTTTACCACCATTGCTTTTCATATGCTCTTTCTTTGATCAGTAATGAGCTTTATGTAAGTCTCTGTTTGGGGAAATTCTATTCACTCTTTAACTTTAATCATATCTCACTCTCTTTGTCATACCTTTCCCTAGTCTCATATGCTCAGAGGATCACTCTTTTCTCTGTTTCTCCTCAGTGCATTCTACAAACCTTTTTCTCATATGTAACTCATGATTTTAATTACTTTCTTTTATTCTATCTTTCTCCCTTCTAGACCAGACATTTCTCTAGGACAGGATCTATACTTCATTTCTGTGACCTGTGCCTGTCAGTTTCTGGCATGTGGCAGCCTTCAATAAATGCTTGTTTAATTACTGAATATATTGATGCTTTGATAGAAGAAACAACTCTGTGAACTATTGCCCACATTTGAAAAATGACATTTCTGATGGAAGTGAGTCCCCTCCCCCCATCTGTTGAGTGTCTGGGTAGTCATTTAGGCTGGTGGCATGTGATTTCTGGCTTTGTATGAAGATTTCACAAGATCAGTGCTCTCATGAGTGAAATTGTCACATCACTGGGTGATGGAGGATAAAATTAGAAATTTCTTTTTAGTTTTTTTTTCTTAAAACTTAAGAAAAGAATTTAAGCTTTACAATATTTGCTATGTGCATTAGCACTGGTGCTTATAGGGGAATGGCTTTGCCATGATTGCCTGATGACCTTGTATGTGTCCAGAAGGGCCATACAAGCAAAGGCTTAAACTACAGCTAATGAAAGTCTTGGTGTATCACCTTGCAATCCTTCCGGAACACAAGAAGAAGGGAGGCCTCTGAGGAGCTGCTATGAGGCCATCTCCCACTCCCCTTCCTATTCCCCGTGGGAGGCTGTCCTGAGACAGTTTTTCATTACACTTCATGAGGTGTGAGGCTTTCTGCCCTACACCTATCAGGACATAGCTGTAGGCTATAAAAGTGCTTAAGTGAAGTCTAGAATTGGCTTCTCAGCAATGGAGTATCCCACAACTGAAGTTATAGTAATTTAGACCAGATAAAGTCTAGAATTGGCTCCCCAGCAATGGGATATCTCACAGCTGGAGTTACAGTCACCAAGACCCTTTGGTTTTAGTGTCATCTTTTCTGGCATGTAGGAAGACACAGGGAGTGGGCATGTTTGGCTATTCTTCCTCTCTCTGTCCATATAAGTAATAAACTCTCTGAATCCTTAAGTGGCTTGTCATCTCTTTACCAGCCGAATCATTTAGGCCTTGGTCCTGGCCTTGCCTGCTGTGTGCTTGACAGTGCCCTCACTGTCTACATGTCAGTCTGCCCATGTGCCACACATGGCAGTGCTTCTCAACTATTTGCAGTAAAGGACCACTTATTTTAATTTTCAATCTTCCACCAACCCATATTTTTATAGAGTATAATAAAATGAATTTCTAAAACATTAAAGATACACAGAATACAAGTCCCTCCCTCTTCTAGTTAAATCAGATGACATAGTGTAATCTGTGAAATTGCTAGATGTTTATAAACACTTTTGATTTCTCTGCTTATCTCATTGAAGACTAGGAAGAGTTTGAAGGCTGGCACCGATCTGTGGATCACACTCTCAGCAGCACTGAAGTGTGGGACATGAGATACCCGAGGGAAAAGTAGGATTTCAGAACACAGATGGTTTGCCAGAATGCCCTAAGTTTTTATTTGATTTCTATAAGCTGTAATGTATTATAATTTATATCCACCTGGTAGGGAATTTATGTATAATATTGATTTTTAACTAAAATAACCCTTAGAGGAATTTGAAAAAAACTTAAAAGTTACCTTTTAGTAATGGACAGATTGAAAATATTAATAAAGGCAAACATAGCTTACAATATGAAAATGGATGAGTGGACATTTCTTTAACTCTCAGTCTCAGCTCCTTGTCAGCCATATTATGAGGTAGAAAAAATAACAGTATATTCTGGTATTACAGGAAATTGGTTAAAAATTCCAAGTTAGCAATAGAATATTTAAAATATCAAATCAAATTTATAGTGGTTAATAATGAACCTTGCCATAAGTATATATTGGGTCTTGAAATATTCATTAATTACAATATGATCTCTCAAGTCAGGCAAGACATTTAACAAAATTTATCTGTATCTCCACTTGTCAAAATTCCATTTTATATCTATTTTGTAATATACACAATATGTTAGTATATATATGTATATCATTTGTAAATAAGCAGTCGTATATTGGTGTGAGGCTTAGCATTTTTTCACAGGGGTCATGTACAGGAAATGTTTTGACCTTGGCATGAGGTCACCTCCAAGGCCTTCCACATCACAAAGGTAGTCAGTCATGTCTCAAATTTTACCTTGTGAGTGCAAGTCATCATTTCTGGACTTTCTCCAGTTTGAGTGTGTCTCCAAGACTGTGAACTCAGGGCCAGCTCTGGGATGTGTTTCCCACCAATTCTAACTCATAAAGGGCCGGAGAGCTGAGATTGTATGTGCTTTGGTCTTATACCAATTACAAGGCTCATAAAGATACACTCAAGAGGGTCATCGACTCTTTCTACAGTTTGTCTATTCCAAGCTTCATTAAATAATGTGGATTAAAGAAAGGCCATTTTGGGAAGGCAGATGTGGCTCTAACCTGACTAGTCAGAGTAGGCTGACTAGCAGAAATATGGGGATGGTTACTTTCAGCTAGTCATTGACTTGGCCATAGCAAGTTCACAACCCTGGGCTTGCATAAAATTATTTAAAATTTCACTTTATTTAAAATCATACTTAATTTTGCTCATTATAAAAGCACATCAAGCTCATTATGGAAAGTTTTTTAAATGCATTAAATTTTAAATAAATTTAACAATAATTTTTTTACTTAAATCATTAATTTTTGGATCTGTCTATTATATATCTTCATGCCACATACCATACATATATGTGTGCACACATGTATAATATTAAATGTGTATATGGTTGTAATAAGAATATATGTTTTTCTTTTTTAAATAATATAGTTTTCATTCCCCACCTTTTACCTATACGGGCCCTCAAAAGCCACTGGGGAGATTGAGCTCTACTAAGTTTTGGTCCTGAGGCTTCCTCTTCCATGTGACGAAAGGGACCAGACTGAACAAGGGAAGCCATGTGGACCCATTGATGTGATGAGGGCTATCTCAATGGGATTGCAGAAGACATGATTTTCTCAAGCTTTCAGCAGCAGTCTTTTCTTATCTTGGATGTGATGCTTTCTTTCTAATATCACCTTTGTCTCCTGTGCAAACCCTTCTCAAACTCTTCTTGAAATCTGGTCCCAAGGCAAAGCTTCTTAGAGCCAACCTGGCGCTACCCTAATATCTGCTCATTTCATTTGCATGTGACTTGTGTCATTTATAATAACACTACCAAGAGAAGGGGGCCTGTAACCAGGGCAACCAGAAGAGGTGCCTTCGAAATTCTGGCTCAGCCAGACTTTCTGCTCCGTTTAGTTAGATTCTTATACATTCATGGCTCTCTTCTCTCCTGAGATTGCAAGAATGTAAACACCTAGAATCTCCCTCATCTCATGTCCTTTTCTCCCAGAGCCCCCTCTGGGCCCACCTATCCAACACATTCTATTTCTATCAACCTGAACATTTCTTCAACTGTTACAAGATTCCTATTCAATTACTATCCAACATTGTGGGTCATAATATTTTCTAATGTTAATACAATCTCTGATCATTATTTTTAATGCTGCCTACTGTTATATCCAGGAGGTGGACCGTAACTACTTTACAATTCTCATATAATTGGATTTTGGGTAGTTTCCTTTTTTGTTTGTTTTGGCCATTATGTTTAGTTCTCTGATGATCATCTTTGTGCATTACTTTTGTTTCTGTCATTAAGCTATAGGAGTCCTTCCCTAGGATAGTTCCCTGGAATTTAAATTACTGATCAAGAGATATATTTGTTAGGCTTTTGATGCATAGTGCTATGTTACCTTCCACAGAGTATCAGTTTACCCTGTATTGTCATTGTGCTCATTTCTAGATATCATTGCTAGGTATTTCATTTTAAAAATATTTTATAAGCAAAAATCGAAGTAGAAATAGCATAACATGACAACTTGCTTTTTATGTTATTAGATTGGACATATTTCCATGCTTGCTAGCTAATTACTTATTCTCTTTGTGAAAGTATTTGCTCTGGTTTTCTTTCCTTTCAATTATTCACATTTTACATTGCAAGTTGTTCTGCCTATGAGGTTGGGCAGAAGCCTTGCTCTTAAAATAGGAGTAATCATATCTTTCAGCCAATCACAGCTGATGATCAGGTGACCAAATTCTTCCCTGGTGATGGGTCAGAAGAGTTGTGTGCTTTTGAGCACAGCTGAATCTTCTCTGAATTTTTGTTGAGGGAGAGCGCTGTATGATCATGTATTAAGATTCTTCCAGATCTACACCCTAGTCACCTAAGAATAGATGCTCCTGTTGGAATTCAGCTAACTGTAAAAATAGGTATGCATATCTTTATAATTTATGGTAATGATAGTAATAATCATTCATTTTTATTGAGTGCCTGCTCTGTGCCAGGCATTTTAATAAGTGCTGAAGGACCTGCTGAAAATAGGTCAAACAATACTCTGTCCTCATGCAGCTTATATTCCAGTGAGGGGAGATAGACAAGAAATCTATAAAAGTTTAGAAACTAAATAATAAAATAAGTTGGATCATTTTATATAGTTATGAATACTATTGAAAACTACAATAGGAATACAGGACAGAGAAGGACTTAGTAGGGGAGTCTACTTAGGATGATAAGGAATCCCTTTAGGGAAAATGATAACTGACTAATGCAAGAAGTCTATTAAGAGTAGTTCTAGGGTGAAAATGTTTCCAGAAGGAGAGCATGTACAAAGGCTCTAAACTGGGAATAGTTTTGGACTGTCTGAGGAACAGAAAGTGGGCCAGTGTGGCTGTTTTAGATTACTAGGAGGAAGTGATAGGATATTATTAGCTAGGCAGTGGTCAGATCGTATAGAATGTTGTAGGTTATGCTTGGGAATTTGGATCTTATTTTAAATGGGTGCCAAGGGAACATTTTAAATGAAGGAGTAGTATAACATGATTTATGTTTCTGGAATGTCACTCTGTGTCCTATGTAGGGGATGTATTATGGTCAGGATAGGCTAGACTGTTATTTTTAGAGGCTTAATGCAATAGAGGTTTATTTCTTGTTCACAGAAAGCCTGATGTGGCCAGGTGTTTCTCTAGGGAATGTCTTCTCCATGCAGTGACTCAGGGATCCAGGCAACATCTATCCTGTTATTCTACCCCATCAACTTGTGAACTATATGGCTGCCACTAAAGAAGAGATGGAAGGATAAGCACACAGGCTCTTAAGTGCTCTGAGCCAGAAGCAAGAGACCCCATTGCTAACATTCCCATTTGTTAGAACTCAGGCACATGGCCCCAAACTCACTGGAATGAAGCTGAGAAATTTAGAAGAACAT